>NW_011332694.1:0-210082 GCF_000001405.40 Homo sapiens | reverse complement strand
ATAGGCCTCAATGGGCTCTCAAATGTCCCTTTACAGATCCTCCAAGAATAGTGTTTACTACCAGCAGAATCAAAATAAAGTTTTAACTCTGAGATAAATCCACACATCACAAAGCAGTTTCACAGTTAACTTCTTTCTAGTTTTAATCTTGCAATATTCGATTTTTTCCCATACCCCTCAAAGGGTTCCCAAATATCCATTCACAGATTTTCCAAAAAGAGTGTTTCCATCCTGCTGAATAAAAGAATGTTTAACTCTATGTGCTGAATCCACACATCAAAAAGCAGTTTCACAGATAGCTTCTTTCTACTTTGTATCTGGGGATATTCTGTTTTTACCTACAGGCCTCAATAAGCTCCCAAATGTCCCTGCACATATTCTACAAAAAGGTTGTCTCCAAACTGCTGAATCAAAAGAAAAGTTTATCGCTGCCAAATAAATCCACACGTCAAAAGCAGTTTCACAGATGGCTTCTTTCTAGTTTTTTTCTGGGGATATTTCGTGTATCCCTTTGGGCCTCAATGTGCTCCCAAATGTCCCTTCTCAGATTTTCCAAAAAGAGTGTTTACAACTTCTGAATCAAAAGAAAGATTTAAATCTGTGAGATGAGTCTGCACATCAGAATGCAGTTTCACAGATAGCTTCTTCCTGGTTTTTATCTGGAAATATTTTATTTTTACCTTTAAGCCTCAATGGGCTCCCAAATGTCCTTTTGCAGATTCTTCAAAAAGGCTGTTTCAAACGAGCTGAATCAAAAGAAAGGTTTAACACTGTGACTGTGAGATGAGTCAAACAGCACAACTACATTTTACACATAGCTTCTTTCTAGTTTTTATCTGGGTATATTCAGTTTTCCCCCATAGGGCTCAATGGACTCCCAAATATTCCTTTATAGATTCTACAAAAAGAGTGGTCCCAAACTGCTGCATCAAAAGAAAGTTTTACCCCTGTAAGGTGAATCCACACATCACAAAGCAGTTTCTCAAATAGCTTCTTTCTAGTTTTTATCCAGGGATAATCAATTTTTCCCCTTAGGCCTCACAGTCACCAAAATGTACCTTCGAAGATTCTCCAAAAAGAGTGTTGTAAATTTACTGAATAAAAAGGAAACCTTAACTCTGTGAGATGAATCCACATATCACAAAGCAGTCTCACAGATAGTTTCCCTCTAGTTTTTATCTGGGGATATTCAGTTTTTCACCATAAGCCAAATAAGCTCCAAAATGCCCCTTTTCACATTTTCCAATAGGAGTGTTTCCAATCTGCTGAATCAAAAGAAAGGTTTAACTTTGCAAAATGAATCCACACATCAGAAAGCATTTTCACAGATGGCTTCCTTGTGCTTTATATTTGGGGATATTCAGTTTTTCCTAATAGGCCTCAATGGGCTGTCAAATATCCCTTGGCAGATTCTCCAAAAAGAGTGTTTACCAAATTTTAAATCAAAAGAAAGTTTTAACTTTGTGAGATGAATCCACACATCACAAAGCAGTTTCACAGACACATTATTTCTAGTTTTTATTGGGGTATATTAGGTTTTTCCCATAGGCCACATTGGGCTCACAAATATCCATTCACAGATTTTCCAAAAAGAATGTTTCCTATCTGCTGTATCAAAAAAAGATTTAACTCTGTGAGATAAATCCACACATCACAAAGCAGTTTCACAGAAAGCTTCTTTCCCATTTTTATCTGAAGATATTTGTTTTTTCCCCATAGACCTCAATGGGCTCCCAAATGTCCCTTCACTGATTACACGAAAATAGTGTTTCTAACCTGCTGAATTGATAGAAAGGTTTACCCTTATGAGACAAATCCACACATCACAAAGAAGTTTTACTGATTGCTTTTTTTCTACTTTTTATCTGGGGATATTTCTTTTTATTCCTAAACCTATATGGGCTCCCATATGCCCTTTCACAAAATCTACAAAAAGAGTGTTTCCATCATTTTCAATCAAAGGAGAGGTTTAACTCTCTGAGATGAATCCACATATCACAAAGTAGTTTCACAGATAGCTTCTTTCAAATTTTCATCTGGGGTTTTCAGTTTTTTTCCATAGCCATCAACGGGCTCCCAATTTCCCTAGTGCCAATTCTCCAAAAATAGTGTTTCCAACCTGGTGAATCAAAAGAAAGGTATAGCTCACTGAGATGAATAGACGCATCATAAAGCAGTTTCACAGATAGTTTCTTTCTAATTTTTAATTTGGAAATATTCGATTTTTTCCTGTAGGCCTCAGGGACTTCGCAAACGTCCATTCACCGATTCTGCAAAAAGAGTGTTTTCACCATGATGAATCAAAAGAAAGATTTAACTCTGTGAGATGAATCCACACATCACAAAAGAGTTTCACAGATAGCTTCTTAGTACTTTTTATCTGGGAATATTCAGTTTTTTCACGTATGCTTCATGTATGCTCCCCAGTGTCCCTTCACAAATTCTGCAAAAAGACTGTTTCAACTAGCCAAATTAAAAGAAAGGATTAACTCCATGAGATGAACACACCAATCACAAAGTAGTTTCAAAGAAAGCTTCTTTCTAGTTTTTATCTGGGAATATTCTATTTTTTCCCATGTGCCTTAATGGGCTCCTAAATGTCTCTTTGCACAGTCTCCAAAAACCATGTTTCAAACCTGCTGAATCAAAAGATAGGTTTAACACTATGAGATGAATCCCCTCATCACAAAGCAGTTTCACATGGAGCTTCTTTCTAGTTTTATATGGCAATAATCACTTTTTCCCAATAGGCCTCAATGCCCTCCCAAATTTCCCTTTGCAGATTCTAGAAAAAGAGTGTTTCTAACCTGTGGAATGAAAAGATTTAACTCTGTGAGAAGAATCTACACATCACAAAGCAGTTCACAGATAACTTATTTCTAGTTTTTATCTAGGGATATTTGTACTGTTTACCCATTGGCCACAAAGGGTTCCTAAATGACCTTTTGTAGATTCTCCAAAAAGTGTGTTTCCAACCTGCTGAAACAAAAGAGACTTTTAACTCTGTGAGATGAGTCCACACATCACAGAACAGTTTCACAGATCGGTTCTTTCCATTTTTTTAAACTGGGGGTATTCAGTTTTCCCCCATAGACCTTTTTGAGCACCAAATTGTCCCTTTGCAGATCCTCCAAAAAGAGTGTTTCCAAGCTGCTGAATCAAAAGAAAGGTTTAACTCTGTGAGAGGAATCCACACATCACAAAGAATTTTCACAGATAGCTTCTTTCTAGGTTTTATCTGGAGATATTTTGTTTCTCTCCATAGGCCACAGTGGGCTCCCAAATATCCCTTCTCAGATTCTCCACAAAGACAGTTTTCAAACTGCTGAAACAAAAGACTACTTTTACTCTGTAAGTTGAATCAAAGCTTCAAAAATCAGTTCACAGATATCTTCTTTCCAGTTTTTATATGGGGATATTCAGTTTTTCCCCATAGGCCTCAATGGGCTTCCAAATATCCCTTCACAGATTTTACAAAAAGAGTGTTTCCAACTTGCTTATTCAAAAGAGAGGTTAATTCTGAAAAATGAATCCACACATCACAAAACAGTTCCACAAGTAGCTTCTTTCCAGTTTTTTTCTTAAGATATTTGGTTTTTCCCCTTTGGCCTCAATGGACTCCCAAATATCCCTATGCAGATTTTCTGAAAGAAGTATTTCCAACCTGCGGAATCTAAATAAATGTTTCACTCTATGAGATGCATTTACACATCAAAACACACTTTCACAGATAGCATCTTTTTAGTTTTTATCTGGGAATATTTGCATTTCAATAATAGGCATCAATGGGCTTCCAAATGCTCATTTGCATATTCTCCAGCATAGTGTTTTGTTTTGTTTTGTTTTGTTTTGGGGGGTTTTGGTTTTGGTTTTGGTTTTTTGTAGAGATGGGGATTCACTCTGCTAGCCAGGATGGTGTCAATCTCCTGATATCGTGATCTGCCTGCCTTGGCCTCCCAAAGTGCTGGGATTACAGGCATGAGCCACTACACCCAGCCTCCAACATAGTGTTTTTAACCTGTAGAATAAAAAGAAAGGTTTAATTCAGTGACATGTATCCCACATCAAAAAGAAGGATCATGGCTAGTTTCTTTTAGTTTTTATCTAAGATATTCTGTTTTTCCCCTTGGACATCAATGGGATCTAAAATGTACCTTCCCATATTCTTAAAAAAAAGTGCTTCCAATCTGCTGAATGAAAAGAAAGCTTTAAATCTGTGAGATGAATACACATATCACAAAGCAGTTTCATAAATAGCTTCTTTCAAGTTTTAATCTGGGGATATTCAGATTTTCCCCATAGGCCTCAAGGAACTCCAAAATGTCCCTTTTGCAGGTTGTCCAATTACAGTGTTTCCAAACTGCTGAAGCAAAAGAAAGCTTTAACTCTGTGAGATGAATTGACACATTACATAGCAATTTAACAGATAGTTTCTTTCTAGTTTCCATCTGTGGATATTTAGTTTTTCCACATAGGTTTCTTTGAGTGCCAAAATGTCCCCTTGAAGATTGTCCAAAAAGAGTGTGTCCAACCTCTGGAATCAAAAGAAAGATTTGACTCTCTGAGATGATTTACACATCAGAAAGCAGTTTCACAGAGATCTTTTTTCTACTTTTCAACTGGGATATTCATTTTTTTCCTAAACCTCTACAGGCTCCCAAATGTCCCTTTGCAGTTTCTATAAAAACAGTATTTTTATGCTGCTGAATTAAAAGAAGGTTTTAACTCTGTGAGATGAGTGGACACACCACAAAGCAGTTTCTAGTTTTATCTCAGGATATTCTGTTTTTCTCCATAGGCCTCAATGGGCTCCTAAATATTTTATCACGTATTCTACAAAAAGAGTGCTTCCAATCTGCTGAATCAAAAGAAGCATTTAACACTGTGAAGTGAAACCACACATCACAAAGAAGTTTCACAGATAGCCCTTTTCTACTTTTTATCTGGGAATATTTGTTTTTTCCCCATTGGCCTCAATAGGATCTAAAATGTTTCTTTGCAGATTCTACAAAAAGAGTGTTTCACACCTGCTGAATCAAAACAAAAGTTGAACACTCTGAGATGAATCCACACATCACAAAGAAGTTTCACTGAGAGCTTCTTTCTACTTTTTATCAAGGGATATTCATTTTTCCCCATAGGCCTGAATGGCTTTTCAAATGTCCCTTAGCAGATTCTAGAAAAAGAGTGTTTCCAACCTGCTGGAGCAAAAGAAAAGTTTATCTATGTGAGACAAATACACACAAAACAAAACAGTTTCACGGATAGCCTCTTTCTACTTTTTATCTGGGGATATTCTGTGTTTACTTATAGTCCTCAATGAGCTCCAAAATGTCCTCTTGCAGATTCTCTGAAAACAGTATTTCCAATCTGCTGAATCAAAATAAAGGTAAAACTCTGTGAGGTGAAAGCACACATCACAAAGCAGTTTCACAGATAGCTCCTTTCTAGTTTTTTTTTTCTGTGGATATTCGGTTTTATCATATAGGGACAAATGGGTCCCAAAATGTCCCTTCGAAAATACTCCAAAAAAAGTGCTTTTAAGCTACTTAATCAAAAGAAAGCATTACTTCTGTGAGATGAATCCACACATCGCAAAGCAGCTTCACAGATACTTTCTTTCTAGTTTTTATCTGGGGATATTCATTTTTAATTATTGATCTCTATGGGCCCCAAAATGTTCCTTCACAGATTCTACAAAATAAGTGTTTCCAACCTGCTGGAAAAAAAAGGTTTAATTCTGTGAGGTGAATCCACAGATCACAGAGCAATTTTACAGGTAGCTTCTTTGTAGTTTATATCTGGAGATACACAGTTTTCCCCATATGCCTCAAAGGGCTTCCAAATGTCCCTTTGAAGATTCTCCAAAGTGAGTGTTTCCAACCTGCTGAATCAAAATAAATATTTATCTTTGTGAGAAGAATCCACACATCACAATGCAGTTTCACAGATAGTGTTTTTCTAATTTTTATCTTGGGATTTTTTTTTTCATAGACCTAAATGGGCTCCAAAATGTCCTTTTGTACATTCTCTAAAAAGACTGTCCCCAACCTGCTTACTGAAAAGAAGTCTTAACTTTGTGAGAAGAATCCACACCTCACAAAGCTGTTTCACAGACAGCTTGTTTCTAGTTTTTACCTGGGGATATATTATTTTTCCCCTTACGCCTCAATGGGATCTAAAATATCCCTTCACTTATCCTCTAAATAAAGTGTTTCCAACCTGCTGAAACAAATGAAAGATTTAACTATGTGAGATGAATCCACACATTACAAAGCAGTTTCACAGATAGCTTCTATCAAGTTTTTATCTGGGGATATCCTGTTTTTCCCCACAGGCTTCAATAGGCTCCCAAATGTCCCATTGCAGATTTTCTAAAAAGAGCTTTTCCAAGCTGCTGAATGAAAAGAAAGTTTTATCTCTGTGAAATGAATGCACACATCACAAAACAGTTTCACACATAGCTTCATTTTAGCTTTTATCTTCTGATGTTCAATTTTCCCCTTAGTTTTCAGTGGGCTCTTAATTGTTCTTTTGCAAATTCTACAAAAAGAGTGTTTCCAACCCAATGAATAAAAAGTAAAATTTACCTCTGTGAGAAAAATTCACTCATCACAAAGCCATTTCACAGATAGGTTCCTTCTAGTTTTTATCTGGAGACATTTGATTATTTGTTATAGGCCTCAATGGGCTCCCAAATAACTCTTCACAGATTCGCCAAAAAAGAATATTTCCAACCTGAGGAATCAAAAGACAAGTTTACAAAAGTGAGATGAATCCAGACTTCACAAAGAAGTTTCACAGACAGCTTCTTTCTGGTTTTTATCTGCAGACACTCAGGTTTTCTCCATTGTCTTCAATGGGCTCTAAAATGTCCCTTCACAGATTCTTCAAAAAGACTGTTTAGAGCCTGCTGAATTAAAAGAATGGTTTAATTTTGTGAGATGAATCAACACAACACAAACCAGTTTCACAGAAAGGTTCTTTCAGTTTTTATCTGGGAATATTTGCTTTTTCTCCATAGGTATCAATGGGCTCTCAATTGTCCCTTCACAAGTTCTTCAAAAAGACAGTTTACAGCCTGCTGAATTAAAAGAAAAGTTTCATTTTGTGAGATGAATCAACAGGTCACAAAGCAGTTTCACAGACAGATTCTTTCAGTTTTTATCTGTGAATATTCAGTTTTTCTTCTTAGGCCTCAATGGGCTGTCAAATGTGCCTTCACAGATTCTACAAAAACAGCGTTTCCAACCTCCTGAATCAAAAGAAAGGTTTAACTCTTTTGTAAAATCCACACATCACAAAGCAGCTTTATAGATACTTCATTCTAATTTTTATCTTTGGATATTCAGGTTTTCTTCTTAGGCCTCAATGGGCTCCCAAATTTCACTTCGCAGATTCTAAGGAAATAGTATTTCTGTGATGACTCAAAAGAAATGTTTTCACTATGAGAAGAATCCACATTCACAAAACAGTTTTATAGATGCTTATTTCTACTTTTTATTTGGGATATTCGATTTTTCTCCATAGGACTAATTGGGCTCCAAAATGTCCCTTCACATATTCTCCAAAAAAATTTTTTCCAACCTGCTGAATCAAAATAAAAGATGAAAATTAAAAGATGAATCCACATATCACAAAGCTGTTTCACAGATAACTCGTTTGTAGTTTTTAACTGGGGATATTCATTTCTTTACCATAGGCCTCAATGGGCTCACAAATATCCCCTTGCAGATTCTCCAAAAAGAGTGTTTCCAACCTGCTCAATCAAAATAAAACTAAACTCTGTGAGACGAATGCACACATCACAAAGCAGTTTCACTGACAGCTTCTTTGAATTTTTTTTTTTCTGGGGAAATTCAATTTTTCCTTTTAGGCCTCAAAGGGCTCCCAAGTGTCCCTTCACAGATCCTCCAAAAATAGTGTTTCCAACCTACTGAATAAAATTGAAGGGTTTAACTCTGTAAAACCAATCCACACATCACAAAGCAGCTTCACAGAAAGCTTCTTTCTGGTTTTTATCTGGGGATATTTTGTTTTGCCCAATAAGCCTCACTGGGATCCCAAATGTCCCTTCAGAGATTCTCCAAGAAAAGTGCTTACATCCTGCTGAAACAAAGGAAGGTTTAATTCTGTAAGATGAGTCCATACATCACGTATTTGTTTCAGACATAGCTTGTTTTTTTTTTTCTGTTTTTTTTTTCCCCGAAGGTAACAATGGGCTCAAAATGTCCCTTTGAAGATTCTCCAAAAAGACTTTTCAGCCTGCTGTATCAAAAGAAAGGTTTAACTAACCGAGATGAATTAACACAGAACAGTGAGGTTCACATATTTCATTATTTTGGTTTTTTTCTTGGGATACTCTATTTTTCCCCATAGGTTGAAATGGACTCCAAAATGTCCCTTTGCAGATTCTCCAAAAACAGTGTTTCCAAGCTGCTGAAACAAAAGAAAGGTTTAATTTTGTGGGATGAATCCACACATCACAAAGCAGTTTCACAGAGAGCTTCTTTCTGGTTTGTATTTGGGTATATTCAGTTTTTCCCCATAGGCCTCAATGGGCTCCCTAACCTCCTTCCAAAGATTCTTCAAAAAGAGTGTTTCCAACCTAATGAACAAAAAGAAAGTTTTAACTCTATAAGATGAATCCATATATCACATAGCATTTTCACAGAAGGAAACTTCTAGTTTTTATCTGAAGATACTTGGTTTTTTTCCCATAGGTCACAATGGGCTCCCAAACATTCCTGTGCAGATTTTCCAAGAAGAGGGTTTCCAACCTTCAGCCTTTAATAGGCTCCCAATTGTCCCTTTGCAGTTTCTCCAATAAAATGTTTACAATCTGCTGATTCAAAGGAAAGGTTTAAATCCATGAGATTAATCCACACATCACAAAGCAGTTTCACAGGTAGGTTTACCTTTTTTACTTAAAACATCACAAAGCAATTTCACACAGAGCTTCTTTCTAGTTTTTGTCTGGGGATATTCAGTTTCTTCAAGTAGGCCACAATGGGTTCCTGAATGACCCTTCACAGATTCTCCAAAAAGACTGTTTCCAACCTCCTGAGTCAAAAGAAAGTTATAACTCTGAGATGAATGCACACATCACAAAACAGTTCCACAGATAGCTTCTTTCTAGATTTTAACTGGGGATATTCTGTTTTTCCAAATAGGCCTCACTGGGAACCCAAAGGTCCCTTCACAGATACTACAAAAAGATTGTTTTAGCCAGCTGAATCAGAAAAAGTTTTAACTCTATGAGATTAATCCACACATCACAAAGCAGTTTCACAGATAGCTTCATTCTAGTTTTTTATCTGGAGATATTTGGTTTTTCCCCATAGGCCTCAATAGGCTCCCAATTATTCCTTCACAGATTCTATAAAGTGAGTGTTTCCAACCTGCTGAATAAAAAGAAAGGTTTAACTCTGTGAGAAGAATCCACACATCACAAAGCAATTTCACAGATATATTGTCTGCAGTTTTTACCTGGGGATATTTGGTTTTTCACCGTAGGCCTAAATAGGCTACAAAATGTCCCTTCACAGATTCTACAAAGAGAGTGTTTCCAATCTGCTGAATCAAAAATAGTTTTACCTCTGTGAGATGAATTCACACATCATAAAGCAGTTTCACAGATAGCTTATTTCTAGCTTTTATCTGAGGATATTCAATTTTTAACCACAGACCCCAAAGGTGTCCCAAATTTCCCTTCGCAGATACTAGAAAACGAGTGTTTCTATCCTGCTGAATCACAGAAAAGTGTTAACTCTGTGAGATGAGCCCACTCATCCCAAAACAGTTGCACAGACAGCTGATTTCCAGTTTTTATCCAGGGACATTCGGTTTTTCCCTGCAGACCTCAATTGGCTCCCAAATGTCCCTTCGTGGATCCTCAAAAAGTGTGTTTTCAACCTGGTGAATCAAAACAAAGGCTTAACTCTGTGAGAGGAACCCACACATCACAAAGCAGTTTCACAGATAACTTCTTTCTAGTTTTTATCTTTGGATATTTGGTTTTGCTGCTTCAGCATCCATGGCCTCCAAAATATTTCTTTGCAGATTCTCCGAAAACAGTGTTTCCAACCTGCTGAATCAAAAGAAAGATTCAACTCTGTGAGATGAATCCACACGTCACAAAGCATGTTCACAGGTAGCTTCATTTCAGTTTTTATCTGGAAATATTCAGTTTTTCCACGTAGGCCTCAAAGGGCTCCCAATCGTCCCTTCACAGATTTTCCAAAAAGAGTATTTCCCTACTTCTGAATCAAAACAATGATTTAACTCTGTGATATGAATCAACACATCAGAAATTAGTCTCACAAATAGCTTCCTTTTAGTTTTTATCACGTAGCAGATTCTACAAAAAGAGTGTTTGTAACCTGGTGAATCAAAAGAAATGGTTAGCACTGTGAAAAGAATCCACATATCACAAAGCAGTTTCACAGAGAGCTTCTTTCTAGTTTTTATCTGGGAATATTTGGTTATAACCAGTAGGCCTCAATGGACTCTCAAATGTTCCTTCTCAATTTCTCCTACAAGGGTGTTTCCAACCTGCTGAATCAAAACCAAGGTTGAACTCTGTGAGATGAATCCACACAAAACAAAGCAGTTTCACAGGTAGCTTCTTTCTGGTTTTCACCTGGGAATATTCAGTTTCTCTTTATAATCCTCAATAGGCTACCAAATATTTCTTTGCAGATTCTAGAAAGAAAATGTTTCCAACCTGCTGAATCAAAGAAAGGTTTAACTCTGAGAGATGAATCCACACATCACAAAGCAGTTTCACAGATATATTATTTACAGTTTTCATTTGGGAATATTTGGTTATTCCCCTTAGGCCTCAATGAGCTCTTAAATGTCCCTTTGCAGATTTTCCAAAAAGAGTGTTTCCAACCTGCTGAATCAAGAGACACATTTAACTCTGTGAGATGAATCCACACATCACAAAGCACTTTCACAGATACTCTTTCCAGTTTTTATGTGGGGATATTCTGTTTTCCCCCAAAGGTGTCAATGGGCTTTCAAATGTCCTTTCACAGATTCTCCAAAGAGAGTGTTTCCAATTTGCTGATTCAAAAGAAAACATTAATTCTGCAAGATGAATCCACACACCACAAACCAGCTTCACAGACTGTTTCTTTCTGGTTTTAATCTTGAGATATTCCGTTTTTCTTCATATGCTTCTATGGGCTCCCAAATGTCCATTGGCAGTCTCCAAAAAGAATGTGTAAAACCTGCTGAATCAAAATTGAGGTTTAGTTCTGTTAGATGAATCCACACATAACAAAGAATTTTCACAGACAGCTTCTTTCTAGTTTTTATCTGGGGATATTTTGTTTTTCCCCTACACCTTACAGGACTCCCACATGTCCTTTCACATATTCTCCATTAAGAGTGTTTCACACGTACTGAATACAAAAAAAATATTGAACTCCCTGAGATGAATCCACATTTCACAAAGTGAATTCACAAATAGCTTCTTTCTGGTTTTTATCTGGGGATATTCACTTCTTTCCCATAGGCCTCAATGAGCCCAAAAATATCCTTTCTCAGATTCTGCCAAAAGAGTGTTTCCAACCTGGTGTATCAAAAGAAAGGTTTGACTCTGTGTGATGAATCTATGCATCACAAAGCAGTTTCACAGAAAGCTTATGTTTAGATTTAATCTAAGGTTTTTTTGGGTTCCTCCAAAGGTCCCCAAAGGTCTTCCAAATTTTCCTTCACAGATTCTAAAAATAAAAAAAGTGTTTTCAACGTACTAAATAAATAAAAAAAAATTCAACTCTTTGAGAATAATCTAGACATCACAAAGAAGTTTCACAGATGATAATTTATTTCTACTTTTTATCTAGGGATATTTATTTCTTCCCCACAGGCCTCTTCCTGTGCTTAAATGTCCCTTCACAGAATCTCTAAAAAAGTGTTTCCAACCTGGTGAATCAAAGAACGGTTTAGCTCTTTGAGATAAATCCACACATCACAAAGCACTTTCACAGATACATTCTTTCCGGTTTTTTTTTTTTTTTTTTTTTTTTGGCAGGGGGATATTTGGATTTTCCCTTAAACCTCTATGGGCTCCCAAAAGTACCTTTGCAGATTCTACAAAAAGAGTGTTTCCATCCTGCTGAATCAAAAGAAAGGGTTAACTCTCTGAAATGAATTCACACATCATAAAGCAGTGGCACAGATAGCTTCTTTCTAGTTTCTACCTGGAGATATTCATTTTTTATTGGCCTCAAAGGGCTCACAAATGTCCCTTAGCAGATTCTGCAATAAGAGTGTTTCCAACCTGCTGAATAAGAAGAAAAATTTAACACTGTGAGATGACTCCACACATTACAAAGCAGTTTCACAGGCAGTTTTTATTTTTTACCTGGGTGTATTCGATTTTTCCCCATAGACCCCTTTGAGCACTAATATGTCCATTTGCAGATCCTCTGAAAAGAATGAATCCAACCTGCTGAATCAAAAGAAAGGTTTAACTCTGTAAGACAAATCCACACATCACAAAGCAGATTCACAGATAGCTTCTTTCTAGTTTTATCTGGGTTTATTCAGTTGTTCCCTTTTAGCTTCAATGAGCTTCCAAATTTCCCTTTGTAGATTCTAGAAAAAGTGTTTCCAACCTGCTGAATCAAAAGAAGGATTTAGCTCTTGAGAAGAATCCATACATCACAAAGCAGTTTCACAGTTAGATTTTTTCTAGTTTTTGTCTAGGGATATTTGTTTTTTCCCCATGGGCCTCTTTGAGTGCTTAAATGTCTCTTCATAGGTGCTCCAAAAAGAGTGTTTCCAATATTTGGTAGCCCACTGAGTCAAAAGAAAGGTTTAACTCTCTGAGATTAATAGACACATCTCAAAGCAGTTTCATGGATAGCTTCTTTCTAGTTTTTTGGGGGGATAATCCTTTTTTTCCCTTAAACCTCTATGGGCTCCCAAATGTACCTTCACAGATCCTACAAAAAGTGTTTCCAACCTGCTGAATCAGAAGAAACATTTAACTCTGTGAGATCAATCTACATATCACAAAGCAGTTTCACAGATATCTTCTTTCTAGTTTTTCTCCAGATATTCTGTTTTTCCCCATAGGCCTTTTTGAGCACTTAAATGTCCCTTTGCAGATTCTGCAAAAAGTGTGTTTCCAATAAATAAATAAATAAATAAATAAAATAAAAAAGAACAACTGTAACAAAAGAAAGGTTTAACTCTCTGAGATGAATCCACACATCACAAAGAAGTTTCACGGATAACTACTGTCCAGTTTTTTCTGGGGTTATTTTGTTTTTCCCGTAAACCACTCTGGACTCCCAAATGTATCTTTGTAGATTTTACAAAAAGAGTGTTTCCAACCTGCTGAATCAAGGGAAAGGTTTAACTCTTTGTGGTGTGTGATGTAATCCACACATCACAAAGCAGTTTCATATATCCTTCTTTTTAGTTTTCGTCTGGGGATACTAGGTTTTTCCCCATAAGTCTGCATGAGCTCCCAAATGTCCCTTCACAGACTCTTCAAAAGAAGTGTTTCCAAGCTGTTGAATGAAAACAAAGATTTAACTCTGTGACATGAATCCACACGTCACAAAGCAGTCTCATGGATAACTTCATTCTAGTTTTCATCTGGGAATATTCATTTTTTTCCCCTTGGCCTTAATGGGCACCTAAATATCCCTTGGAGAGTCTCCAAAGACAGTGTTTCCAACCTGCTGATTCAAAAGAAAACATTAACTCTGTAAGATGAATCCATACATGACAAAGCAGTTTCACAGATAGCTTCTTTCTAGTTTTTATCTAGGGATATTTTTTTCCCGTATACCTCAATGGACTGAAAAATGTCCTTTCACAGATTCTCCAAAAAGAGGGTTTACAGGAGATCCTGGGTTCGAATCCCAGTGGTGCCTCAACCGAGCTTCCAAGCTCTTTCCACTTTGGCTGGGTGTGGTGGCTCATGCCTGTAATCCCAGATTGCAGGGAGGCAAGAGGTGGGAGGATAGCTTGAGCCCAGGAGTTTGAAACCTGCCTGGGAAATATAGCAAGACCCCGTTCTCCTCAAAAAGGAAAAAAAAGACCAAAAAAATAAAAAGAGGGTTTCCAACCTGTTTAATCAAAAGTGACATTTTATTCTGTGAGATAAATCCACACATCACAAAGCAGTTTCACAGACATCTTCTTTCTAGTTTTTATCTGGGAATATTCTGTTTTTCCCCTAGGCCTCAATAGGCTTTCAAATGTCCTTTGGCAGATTCTCCAAAAAGAGTGTTTCACACCTGCTGAATAAAAAGAAAGATTTAACTGTTAGATGAATCCACACATCACAACACAGTTTCACAGATAGCTTTTTTCTAGTCTTTATCTGGGGATGTTCAGTTATTCCCTTTAGGCCTCAATGGGCTCTTAAATGTCCCTTCACAGATTCTACAAAAATAGAGTTTCCTACTGCTTAATCAAAAGAATGTTTTAACCCTGTGAGATGAATCCAGACATCCCAATGCAGTTTCACAGATATCTTCTTTCTAGTTTTTATCTGGGGATATTTGATTTTTCACCATGGACCTAAATGAGCTCCCAAATGTGCCTTCACAGATTCTAAAAAAGTCTGTTTCCAACATTCTGAATCAAAGGAAAGGTTTAACTTTGTGAGATCAATCCACACATCACAAAGCAGTTTCACAGAAATCCTCTTTCCGGTTTTAATCTGGGGATATTCTGTTTTTTTTTTTTCTTAAGCCAGAGTGGGCTCCCAAATCTTCCTTCACAGATCCTCCAAAAACAGTTTTTCCAACAAGCTGAATCTAAAGTGATATTTTACTCTGTTAGATGAATCCACGCATCAGAAATCAGTTTCACAGATAGCTTCTTTCTAGTTTTTACCAGGGGATGTTCGGTTTTCCCCATATGCCTCTTTGAGCAGCTTAATGTCCCTTCTCAGATGTTTCAAAAAGAATGTTTGCAACCTAGTGAATAAAAATAAAGTTTTAACTCTCTGAGATTAATCCACACATCACAAATAAATTTAACAGATATGTTCTTTCAAGTTTTTTGTGGTGATATTCAGTTTTTCTGTTAAACCTCTATAGGCTCCCAAACGTACTTTTGCAAGTTCTACAGAAAGAGTGTTTCCAAACTGCTGGATCAAAAGAAAGGTTTACTTCTCTGAGATGAATCCACATATCACAGAGTAGTTTCACAGACCTCTTCTTTCTTGTTTTTATCTAGAGATATTCAGTGTTTCCCATAGGCCACAATGGGCTCCCAAATGTCCCTTTGCAGATTCTCCAGAAAGAGTGTTTCCAACCTGCTGAATCAAAAGAAAGGTTTAATTCTGTAAGTTGAATCCACACGGCACAAAGCAGATTCACCAATAGCTTCCTTCTTGTTTTATCTGTGGATATTCTCTTTTTTGCCATAGGCCTCAAAGGGCTCCCAAATTTCCCTTCACAGATTATAGAAAAAGAGTTTCTCCAACATGCTGAATCAAAAGGAAGTTTTATCTCTGTGAGAAGAATCCACAAATCACAAAGCAGTTTCACAGAAATCTTCTTTCTAATTTTTATCTGGGGATATTCAGGATTTCCCCCCAGGCCTCAATGGGCTGCGAAATATCCCTTTGCAGATTCTACAAAAAGAGTATTCCCAACATGATGAATCAAAAGAAAGGTTTAACTCTGTGAGATGAATCCACACATCACAAGGCCGTTTCACAGATAACTTCGTTATTTTTATTGGGGGACATTCAGTTTTTCCCCGTAGGCCCCAAAGGGCTCCCGAATAACCCTTGGCAGATTCTCATTAAAGGGTGTTTCCAACACATCTCACATCACAAATCCACCCAGTCCAAAGCAGATTCACAGATATCACCTTTCTAATTTTCATCTGGTGTTGGGGACCAGCCTCAACACAACCTGTATTGTACCCAAAGTCCAGTGGTGACAAAGGATTGACCAGAGACAAGTTAAGAGTAAAGTTGAGGGCCAGGGGGCCAAATGCATGGTAGCAGGTTGCAAAAGGCCCAGAGTTCTGGTCTCCACACTATTTATTTAGCACAGTCACTTAGATATAAGAGCAGATGTTCAGGGCAAAACAGTGAAATGGTGAGTGTGTCATAGGGGTGATCTATAGTAGTACCAGTTTAAATGCATCTCCTTTGTGCTCAAAGAGCATGTCTTTAGCTTATCAGAGAGTAGCTAGTGGGAGTAGGCTTAACTAGGAGCCTGCAAATCTGTCCACTTTCCATTACATCAAGAGAGTGTCTTTCTCTTTGAACACAGTGTTTACACATAAGGCAGCAAGTCTCACTCACAGCATGGAAATAGGGTGGCAAATAGGAGGCTTTCCTCCTCAGAGTCTTCTTGTCTTTCCACAACTTATTGTCTCATATTTTTGGCCAGGTTTTACAGGCAGCCCATAAACCTTTTTCCCAACATGCCCCCATTTTTTCATTTTTAAAACCGCCATTGCTATTAAGGCTTGTTCTTTGTGTCTGGTTTTTCTCCAGAGGCGTATTCCACATTTGCAGACTAAAAGCAAACAGTATAAACAGATACACATTAAAGCAAAGATTGCAATAGTTCATCCTCCAGTGGTCTTAATTCATTTAAGAGGGTTTACATTTGAAAGTCCATCAGCAGCTCCAGCGATAATGTCAGTCCCAGGCAGGAGAGTTCAATGAGCCTGAGACCCTTCAAAAACCTGTTCCTTTAATTTGGCTGTATCCAATGCTAAATTTTCATTTCTTTCTTCCACATGACGTCTAACTTTTTTCCAATGATGTTCAGTAGCATTATACGAATGGGGAGTTATGTAGAAATCAGAAGTAATCCAATCACATTGTATGTGCAATCGATGTTCTAAGCTCATTATATGATCTCTCTTCCAAATAACAGTCTGTCTAATATCATTTATTTGATTTGTCAATTGTTGGTCTATCCAGGTCTGAGAATTCCACAATGTTGAGGAATTCTTTTGCCAATTATTTTGTAGTTTGAACAGACGAGTGTAAAGCAATTCCAGCAGCTGCAGCAGCAGCTGTGACTGCACTAAGTCCCATAATGACAGCTATAAGGTTAAAAATAATTTTTTTTGCTCTGGTAAACACTCCCTTTAACATTTCTGTGATGATATGAATGGAAGGAGAGGCTTCCCAAGGTCTATTGAGGGAAACTAGTGTCCAAACACCTTCTGTAGCCCTCACCAGCAACACAGATGTTTTTACACCAAACGTGGAATCAATACAGGTGAAAAGTTGACAGTTTTGACAGGAAATAGTTTGAGAATTAGATTGAATATTAAGATTTCTGATCATCAACATAAAAGGAGGCTTGACACAACTCTGAATGGGTACTGTTCCGTTGGAAGAAAACTGATACACAAACTGAAGTCTCTCACCTTTCGTCTTAAGATAATTTTTTTTCCAAACCCAAATACGCGATTTGCCCATTATTAACTTCCATAATTCGGGATGTTCAAGGCCTATTATAGGATTAATCACTTCTGGATGTGGGCTGGCCATACTAAAGTTGGTCCAAATTATGAGAAAATGGGCACTTTTTTATTATAAGTAGTGTCATCTCTTTGATAGTATAGTTCCTGTTTTAGTTTTGTTTGGCATCTATCATTTTGATTGGTAAAATTAACTGCAAAGATCCCCTTATGGGACCAATTAAAGATGATTCCACAGGAATGATTTTGCAGTACCTCAGTGTGATCAGAGATGCAATCCTCCCAAACTAATATTTTTAAATGTTTTCACTATTGTTGAGATTGTTGACACCTCTCTTTTCTGGGCTTAAACTGCTGCAATTGAACTGAGATCTGTGAATGATCCAGGCTCCATCCAGAAAGTAAAGGATAGGATACTTGTCTTTGGTTATTTACCTAGAATTTTAAATAGCCAATGTTTTTGATAGCCTTTTAGGCAACTGATAGCCAGCACTGTGTAAAGAGTGGGGGAACAGATAACCTATGGACACATTTATTGTCATTTCTTTCTCCTCTAGGTGAGAGGGCCCAAGAGTATCTCTAGGCTTAGGCATCCAAACACTATCATTAACATAAACCACAACCGGGGGTTCCAACAAAGTGACAAGCTTAATTAAAGGTGGGAATGGGACGTATGCCCAATAGGTATAATTTTGGTCTGCTGTAGCCAAAGAGAGATTTACCACCATAGCAATTACCGCAATCATAGCCTCCATACTGAATGAATCCCACTGTTTGTACGTTAATTTATTTTAGCCTAGCAGTTACGTTATTAGAAGCTGAGAAGGGGGTGTTTGTTAAAATAACTGGGCAGAATAAAGGCGGATTTAAGATGTGAGCTTAACAAAGTTTAGCAGGTATAAGCAGTAGGCAAAGTGAGAGAATTAAAAATGAGTAAATTATTTAGCTTAGTGTTCTGCCTCTTCAGCATAATGTCTGGGGCCTGTGTTGCTTGTGGAAGGTGCGTTGTTGAGGCTGTAGTTCCTGTAGGGTCTTTTTTAGGCTGGCTTGAATATTTTTTCTTTTTTTCATCCTTTGATGAGCACATAGTCTTCAGGCTGGTACTGGAAATTCTAGGAGTGGTACCTGTGTTCATAGACTTTTTACTATCTTTAAGAGCTCGTTAGTGTTTTAAGAAAAATTTGTGTTTTATTTTAGTGTTTAGTTTATAGAAAAATTGGATGATACCTTTTTTAACTTTAGCAAATATATTTACCTACAAAATTTTTTACAATTATCATTTTAAAACTTGCTTGGACACTCAAAACAAAACTTCTAAAATCTTCCTTGCATAAATTCCTTTTTATAACATTTTTCATAACTTTCACAATCTTCAACATGCCTTAACTTTCTGTTTCATAACTTTCCTTACTAAAGGTACATTCTTTTAACTTTCTTAATATTTCCTTTCCTTTCTTCCTACTTTATTTTTTCCTTAGTCTTTCTTTTTGTATCTTTCTTTAATTTTTGTCTCTTCTAGTCTTTTTCTTACTTTTTTCTATTTTTATTTTTAATGTGCAATAATTAGATGAGTGTTGGTAACAATGGATATATGTACACATCTTAGTTTCCAAAATTTAAGGATGTGTTTAACATCTGTTTGCCACAACTGAATAGGTTGCAATCCTCCAGGGTTAACACCTGTTGAAAGAGGAGAGATGCGTGTGAGCTGGTACCTGTGAGCTGGTAATCTGGGTATTTTAGGCGTAATTTGCTTAGCAGGCCTCTGTGTAAGTTGAAATTATTTAGATACATTTCTCCAATTTTGGTGAAAAAATTGATGTGATTGGGTGGCTTGGTCAAGCAGCGATGTCATAACCTGAAGCTCTGCTTGATTATTGCAATAAGCCAATGGGCCAGGCAGAGAGCTGTGGGCTTGAAAGTGTGTAATAAAAATAGGATGTGTACCTTGGTCTAGCAATTGCTGAAGTTGAAGAAAAAGAGCACACAGTGTGGGCTCCAGAGTGAACTTAAGGCTGTAAAACTTCCTTAATAAATAAACAGAATAACCTCAGCTCTCTGAATGCTAGTGAATTGAGATAGAGTGATTAGATTATGTGGTCTCCACCAGACTGTAGGTTTTTTTGTTTGTTTCTTCACCAGACCCATCAGTAAAAACAGTCACAGCTCCTTCCAAAAGGGCATCATGGATAATTTTTGGAAGAACCTGTGTAGTTAATTTTAAGAACTGGAAAGTTTTATTTTTAGGATAATGATTATCAATACATCCAAAAAATTTTGCTAAATTAACTTGTCATGCAACTGAGTTAATAAATTCCTGTTTTTCCTGATTTTCATTTATTGGTACTATAATCTTATTGGGTTCAGTGTCACAAAGTTTAATAATTCATATAGGAGATGGTCTAATTAGAATTGGCACCTGATCTAAATATACTATAAGTGCTTTTATGGTATTATGTGGCACAAAGGACCATTTACCTAAATCCTCACTTTGGACAATAACCCCAGTTGGGGAGTGTGAAGTAAGGAACACAATGAATTGTAAAAGCATGTCTGAGCGAATTTTACTGTCTTGGGTTTGTTGAATTTTTTCTTCAATTACTCTTAACTCTTTAATGGACTTGGGTGTTAGTTCTCTTTTACTATGTACGTTGGAATTTCCCCTTAATATTGAGAAAAGATTAGACATAGCGTAAGTAGGAATTTCTAAGGTGGGTCAAATCCTTATATATCTCCTAACAATTTTGAAAACCATTTAAGCTTTTTAAAGAATCTCTTCTAATTTGAACCTTTTGAGGCTTAAAGGCTCTATCTTGTACTTGCATCACCAAGTACTGAAAAGAAGTGGTTGTTTGAATTTTGTCAGGTGCTATAAACAATCCAGCATTTGTAATTGTCTTTTGTAAAGTGAATAATATTGAATAAGTTGATCTATATTTTTTACTGCACATATTATGTCAGCCATATAATGGATGATGTAACACTCTGTAAATTGATCTCTAACAGTCTGGTTAGCCTTGCCTACAAAAGTTTGACAAATTGTGGGGCTGTTTAACATACCCTGGGGTAAAACCTTCCACTGACATCTGGTTGCATGTTCATTGTTATTAAGAGTAAGGATGGTAAAGGCAAATTTTTTTAAATCTGCCTCTGCCAAAGGAATTGTAAGAAGGCAGTCTTTTGAATCTATAATAACAAGTGGCCAGTCTTTAGGGAGCATAGTGGGGGATGGGAGCCCTAGCTGTAAGGTTGCCATCAGTTGAATTACAGTGATGACCACTTGCAAGTCAGTCAGCATGCACCATGTACTAGATGTTTTTTTTTAAATTAAAGATACTGGGGATTTCAAAGGAGACAAATTGGGTGAAATACGTCCTTTTTCTGGTAGTTTTCTATTTCACAAAGCACCCACAACTTGTCTTTAGGGAGTGGCCACTGTTCAACCCAGACAGCGTGCTGTGTTATCCATTTTAAGAGAAATTGCTCCTCCACAGTGAGGAAATGCAAGTCGGGCAATAGTGGGTGCAGTGAGCTGAGTCTCAGTGAGCCAAGTCTTGGACTCCCTTTCCCAGCACTCACTCAGCTGAAGAGGAGGTGGCCTTTCTGGGCACTGCTCTGAAGGAGCCATGAGCAGAACAATTTTCAGAGCAGGTTTAGGGAGACCACAGAGCTTGGCATACATTAACTGTGAACTATCCTTTTGGCTAGCACTTGGTAGAGGCCGTTCAGAGTTCTGATTATCAAACTCCTATCCCTTCTCCTATGACTCAGCCTCCTCATCTGAAAAGCTTCCAGTGCTGTATGCACCAATGTCCAAACTTACCAAAAAGTCAAAGGAATTTTCTTCCTTTTCTACGTGTTTTTAAAGTCCTTTCCAACTCTTTCCAAAACTTTAATTTCACAAAATGTTTCACAGATAGCTGATTTCTAGTTTTTATCTGGGGATATTCTGTTTTTCCCCATAGGCTTAAATGAGCTCCAAAATGTCTTTTTGCAGATACTCAAAAAAGATTGTTTACAACCTGCTGAATAAATTGGAAGGTTTAACTCTTTGAGATGAATCCACAAACCAAGAAGCAATTTCATAGATAGCTTCTTTCTAGTTTTTGCCTGGGGATATTTTGTTTTTCACCATAGACCTCAATGGGCTCCCAAATGTCCCTTGGCAGATTCTCCAAAAAGAGTGTTTCCAGCCTGCTGAATCAAAAGATAGGTTTAATACTGTGAGACGAATCCACACATAGCAAAGCAGTTTCACAGATAACTTCATTCTACTTTTTACTGGGGATATTCACTTTTCACATTAGGCTACAATGGGAGACCACATGTCCCTTAAAAGATTCTCCTAAAAGAGTTTTTCCAACGTGCTAAATGAAAAGAAAACTTCAACAAGTTGATTCAACTTGTTGAATCAACAAGTTGAATTCAACTTGTGAGATGAATCCAAACATTGCAAAGCAGTTTCACAGGTAGCTTCTTTCCCATTTTTATTAGGCGATACTTGGTTTTTCCACATAGGCCTCGATGGGCTCCCAAATGTATGTTTGCAGATTCTCCAAAAAAAAGGGCTTCCAGCATGCTGAATCAAAAGAAAGGTTTAACTCTGTGAGGTGAATTCACACATGACAAAGCAGTTTCACAGTTAGCGGCTTTCTGGTTTTTATCAGGGGATATTCAGTTTTTTCCATAAGCCTCAATGGGCTTACAAATGTCCCCTTGAAAATTTTCTACAAAGAATGTTTCCCAGCTACTGAATAAAACGAAATATTTAACTCTGTGAGACATATCCACACATCACAAAGAAGTTTCACAGATACCTTCTTTCTAGTTTTTATCTGGAGATATTTGGTTTTTCACTGTAGGTCTCAACAAGCTCCCAAATATCCGTGGCCACATTCTACAAAAAGAGGTTTTGCAACTGGCTGAATCAAAAGAAAAGGTTGTCTCTTTGAGATGAATCCACACGTCTGAAAGCAGTTTCAAACGAGGCTTCTTTCTAGTTTTTATCTGGGCATATGTTGTTTTTCCACATAGGCCTCAAAGGGCTCCCAAATGTCCCTTCATAGAATCTCCAAAAAGAATGTTTCCAACTTCCTGAATCTAAAGAAAGTTTTAACTCTGTCAGATGAATTGAAACATCACATATCAGTTTCATAGATAGCTCCTTTCTACTTTTTAATCTGAAGCTATTCTGTTTTTCCACATAATCCTTAATGGGCTCCCAAATATCCCTTCACAGATTTTACAAAAAAAAGGTTTCTAACCTGCTGAATCAAAGGAAAGGCTTAACGCTGTGAGATGAATCCCCTCATCACAAAGCAGTTTCACAGATAGCTTTTTTTCTAGTTTTCTTTTGTATTTATATTCAGTTTATCTTTATAGGCTTCAATGGGCTCCCAAATGTCCCTTTGCAGATTCTCTAAAAAGGGTTTCCAAATTTCTGAAACAAAAGAAAGGATTACTTCACTGAGATGAATTAATAAAGAACAATGCTGTTTCACAGACAGGATTATTTTCATTTTTTCTTGGGATATTCAGTTTTTCTTTGTAGGTTATAATAAGCTCTCAACTTTCCCTTTGCAGATTCTCCAAAAAGAGTGTTTCCAAACTGCTGAAACGAAAGTAATGTTTAACTCTTTAAGATGAATCCACACATCACTAATTATTTTCACAAATAGATTCTTTCTAGTTTTTATTTGGGTATATTCAATTTTTCCTCATAGGTCTTAATGGGCTCTAAAATATCCCTTCACAGATTCTCCAAAAAGATTGTTTCCAACCTGATGAATCAAAAGAAAAGTTAACTCTGTGAGATGAATCCACATATCACAAAGCTGTTTCACAGATAGCTTCTTTCTAGTATTTATCTAGGGATATTCAGTTTTTCCTTATAGGCCTCAACAGGCTCCCAAAAGTCCCTCTGAAGATTCTCCAAAAAGAAGGTTTCCAACCTGCAGGCCTTAATATGCTCCCAAATGTCCCTTCACAGATGCCTCAAAAAGATGTTTCCAATCAGCTGAATCAAAGGAAAGGTTTAACTCCGTGAGATTAATCCACACATCACCAAGCAGTTTCACAGGTAGTTTTATTTTCGTTTTTTCCTTAAATCATCACAAAGCAATTTCACAGAGAGCTTCTGTCTAGTTTTTGTCTGGGGATATTCGGTTTTTTCAAGTAGAAATAAATGGGCTCCCAACTGTCCATTTACAGATTCTCCAAAGAGAGTGTTTCCAACCTCCTGAGTCAAAAGAAAGGTTTAACTCTGTGAGATGGATGCACACATCACAAAACAGTTTCACAGATAACTTCTTTCTAATTTTTATCTGGGGATATTCTGTTTTTTCCCCATAGGCCTCAAGGGGCTCCCAAATGTCCCTTCACAGACACTACAAAAACAGTGTTTTCAACCTGATGAATCAAAAGAAAGTTTTCACTCTGTGAGATGAATCCACACATCCCAAAGCAATTTCACAGATACCTTCTTTACTGTTTTTACCTGGGAATATTCGGTTTTACTTCATAGGCTTCAATGGGCTCTCAAATATTCCTTCGCAGATTCCACAAAATGAGTGTTTCCAACCTGCTTAATCAAAAAAAGTTTAACTCTGTAGGATCAATCCACACATCACAACTCAATTTCATAGACAGCTTCATTCTAGTTTTTATCTGGGGATATACAATTTTTAAGAATAGGCCTGAATGGGTTCCCAAATTTCCCTTCACAGATTCTACAAAATGAATGTTTCCAGTGTGCTGAACCACAAAAAAAGTGTTAATTTTGTGAGATGAATCCACACATCACAAAACAGTTTCACAGATGGCTTCTTTCTAGTTTTTAACTGGGGATATTCAGTTTTAACCCACACACTTAAAAGAGCTCCCAAATGTCCCTTTGCAGATTCTCCAAAAGTGTGTTTCCAACCTACTGAATCAAAATAAAGGTTTCACTCTGTGAAAGGAATCCACACATCTCAAAGCAGTTTCACAGATAGTTTCTTTCTAGTTTTTATCTTTGAATATTTGGTTTTGCCCTTTAGGCATCCATGCACTCCCAAATATTTATTAGAAGATTCTCCAAAAAGAGTCTCTCCAACCTGCTGATTCAACAGAATTGTTCAACTCTGTGAGATGAATCCACATATCACAAAGCACTTTCACAGATAACTTCATTTTAGTTTTCATCTGGGGATATTCCATTTTTCCCCATAGGCTTCTCTGGGCTCCCAAATGTCCATTTGAAGATTTTGCCAAAAAGAGTGTTTCCAACCTGCTGAATCAAAAGAAAAATGTAACTCTGTGAGATGAATCCACACATCACAAAGCGGTTTCACAAATAGCTTCTTTCTAGTTTTTATCTGGAGATATTTGTTTTTTCCCTGTAGTCCACAATGAGCTCCGGAATGTCCATTCACTGATTCAACAAAAATAATGTTTCCAACCTGCTGAATGAAAAGAAAGTTTTAACTCTGTGGGATGAATCCACACATTACCAAGCAGTTTCACAGAAAGATTCTTTCTAGTTTTTATCTGAAGATATTCGTTTTTTTTCCAATAGGTCTAAATTATCTCCAAAATGTCCCTTCACAGATTCTCCAAAAAGATGTCTCCAATCAGCTGAATCAAAGGAAAGGCTTAACTCCATGAGATTAAGGAACACATCACAAAGCAGTTTCACAGGTAGCTTTATTTTCATTTTTTCATTGAAATGCTACAAAGCAATTTCACAGAGAGCTTCTGTCTAGTTTTTGTCTGGAGATGCTCGGTTTTTTCTAGTAGAACAAAGTGGGCTCCCAACTGTCCATCCACAGATACTCCAAAGAGACTTTCCAACCTCTTGTGTCAAAAGAAGGGTTAACTCTGAGAAAAATGCACGCACCACAAAACTGTTCCACAGATAACTTCTTTCTAGTTTTTATCTGGGAATGTTCTATTTATCCCCTTAGGCCTCAATGGGCTCCCAAATATCCCACCGGGTACTACAAAAAATGTGTTTCCAACCTGCTGAATCAAAAGAAAGATTTCACTCTGTGAGATGAATCCACCCATCACAAAGCAATTCCACAGATACTTTCTTTGCTGTTTTTACCTGGGAATATTTGGTTTTTCTTCATAGGCCTCAATGGGCTCCGAAATGTCCCTTTGTAGATGCCACAAAAAGAGTTTTTCAGCCTGCTTAATCAAAAAATGTTTTAACTCTGTGAGATCAATCCACACATCACAAAGCAATTTCACAGATACCTTCATTCTAGTTTTTAAATGGGGATATTTAATTTTTATCCATGGGTCTCAGTGGGCTCCCAAATTTCCCTTCACAGATTCTACAAAATGAATGTTTCCAACGTGCTGAATAACAAAAAAGTGTTAATTCTGTGAGACGAACCCACACACCACAAAGCAGTTTCACAGATAGCTTCTTTTTAGTTTTTATATGGGGATATTCTTTTTTTTCCATGGACCTCAAAGGACACTGAAATGTCCCTTTGCAGATTCTCCAAAAGTGTGTTTCCAACTGCTGAATAAAAACAAAGGTTTAATTCTGTGAGATGAATACACACATCACAAAGCAGTTTCACAGATAGCTTCTTTCTGGTTTTTATCTTTGGATATTTGGTTTTACCCCTTAGACATCTACGAATTCCCAAATATTTATTTGAAGATGCTCCAAAAAGAGTGTTTCCAACCTGCTGAATCAAAAAGAAAGATTCAACTCTGTGAGATGAATGTACACATGACAAAGCATTTTCACAGAGAGCTTCTTTCTACTCTTTATCTGGGAATATTCAGTTTTTCCCAATAGGCCTAAAAGCGCTCCCTAATGTCCCTTCACAGATTTTCCAAAAATAGTGTTTCCCACCTGCTTAATCAAAAGAAAGGTTTAACCCTGTGGGAGGAATTGACACATGACACAGAAGTTTTACAGGAAGCTTCTTTCTAGCTTTTATCTGGGAATATTTCGTTTTTTCCCATTCACCTCAATGGACTTCCAAATGTCACCTTGCAGATTCTGCAAAAAGAATGTTTCCAACCTGCTGAATCCAAAGAAAAGTTTAAATCTGTGAGATGATTCCATTGATCACAAAGCAGTTTCTTAGATAGCTTCTATCTAGATTTTTTTCTGGGGATATTCAGTTTTTCCCCATAGGCCTGTTTGAGTACCCAAATTTCCATTCACAGATTCTACAAACAGATTGTTTTAAACCTGCTGAATCAAAAAAAAGTTTGAACTCTCTGGGATGAATCCACACATTGAAAAGCTGTTTCACAGATAGCTTCTTTCTAGTTTATATCTGGGATATTTGGTTTTCCCCCTAAACCTCTCTGGGCTCCCAAATATCCCTTCACAAATTGTACAAAAAGAGTATTTCCATCCTGCTGAATCAAAGGAATAGTGTAGCTCTGTGAGAAGAATCCACACATCACAAAGGCAGCTTCACAGATAGCTTCCTTCTAGTTTTTTCTCAGAGGATATTTTGTTTTTCCCTTAGGTCTCGATGTGCTTCCAAATGTCCCTTCACAGTTTCCATAAAACGACTGTTTCCAAGCTGCTGAATCAAAAGAAAGTTTTAACTCTGAGATGAATCCTCACATCCAATAGCAGTTTCACAGATACCTTCATTCTAGTTTATATCTGGGGATATTCAGTTTTTCCCCTTAGGCCTCTATGGCCCCAAATGTTCCTTCACAGATTCTCCAAAAAGAGTGTTTCCAACCTACTGCTTGAAAAGAAACTTTAACTCTGACACGAATCCACACATCACAAAGAAGTTTCACAGATAACTTCTTGTTTTTGTCTGGCGGCATTCAGTTTTTTTCCATAGGTCTCAATGGGCTCTCCAATGTCCCTTTGCAGATTTTCAAAAAAGAGCTTTTCCAACCTACTGAATCAAAAGAAATTTTTAATTCTTTGAGATGAATCAACACATCACAAAGAAGTTTCACAGATAGTTTCTTTCAAGTTTTTATCTGGGGATATTCTGTTTTTCCCCTAGGCCACAATGTGCTCCCAAATGTCCTATCACAGATTGTAGAAGAGAATGTTTCCAAACTCGAGAATCAGAAGAAAGATTAGATCTGTGAGATAAATCCACACATCACAAAAAAGTTTCACAGATAGCTTCTTTCTAGTTTTTATCTGGGGATATTCAGTTTATCCCCATAGGCCTCAATGGGCTCTCGAATATTCACTCACAGATTTTACAAAGAAAGTGTTTTCAAACTCCTGAATCAAAAGAAAAATTTAACTCTATGAGATGAATCCACACAACACAAATACTTTCACAGAAGTTTCTTTCTAGTTTTTATCTAAGGAAATTTTATTTTTTCCCATAGGTCTCAATGGGCTCCAAAATGTCCCTTTGCAGATTACACAAAAAGAGTTTCCCAAACTGCTGAATCAACAGAAACGTTTATCTTTGTGAGATGAATCCACACATCACAAAGAAGTTTCACACAAAGGTTCTTTCTAGTTTTTAACTGGAGATATTCTGTTTTTTTCCCATGGCCACAATGGGCTCCCAAATGTCCCTTAGAAGATACTCCAAAAAGAGTGTTTACAACCTGCTGAATCAAAAGAAAGGTTTAATTCTTTGATATGAATCCACACATCCCAAAGCAGTTTCACAGATAACTTCATTCTAGTTTTTATCTGGGGATATTCAGTTTTTCCCCTTAAGCCTCAATGACCCCAAAATGTCCCTTAACAGATTCTCGAAAAAGAGTGTTTCCAAACTACCAATTCAAAAGAAAACTTTAACCCTGGAAGAGGAATCCACACATCACAAGGTAGTTTCACCAAAAGCTTCTTTCTAGTTTTTATCTGGAGATATTTTGTTTTTCCCCATTGGCCACAATGGGCTCCCAAATGCTCCTTTGCAGATTCTCCAAAAACAGTGTTTCCAACCTGTTGAGTCAAAAGAAAGGTTTAACCCTTTGAGATGAATCCACTCATCCAAAAGCAGTTTAACAGATTACTTCATTCTAGTTTTTATCTGGGGATATTCGGTTTTCCCCATTAAGCCTCAATGGCTCCAAAATATCCCTTCACAGATTCTCCAAAAAGAGTGTTTCCAAACTACCGATTCAAAAGAAAACTTGAACACTGTGAGATGAATCCACACATCACAAAACAGTTTCACAGATGGCTTCCTCTTGTTTTTATCTAGGGATATTCAATTTTTCCCCATAGCCCTCGATGTTCTCTCATATGTCCCTCACAGATTTTCCCAAAAATAGTGTTTCCAACCTGCTGAATCAAAAGAAAGTTTTACTCTTGTGTGATGAATCCACAAATCACAAAGAAGTTTCACAGATAGCTTTTTTTCTAGGTTTTATTGGTGGATATTCTGTTTTTCCTGATAGGCCACAATGTGCTCACTAATGTCCTATCACAGATTCTCCAAAAGAGTGTTTCCAAACTACTGAATCAAAGGAAAAATTAAACCTGTGAGATAAATTCACACATCTCAAATCAGTTTCACAGATAGCTTCTTTCTATGTTTTTAACTGGGGATATTTGGTTTCTCACCATAAGCCTCAATGGGCTCTGGAATATTCATTCACAGTTTCTACAAAGAGAGTGTTTCTAACCTGCTGAATCAGAAGAAAAAGTTAACTCTGTGAGATTAATCCACGCATCACAAAGCAGTTTCATGGATAGCTTCTTCTAGATTTTATTTGCAAATATTTAGTTATTCCACATCAGTTTCCTTGAGCGCCAAAATGTCTCTTTGCTGATGCTCCAAAAGAGTGTTTCCAACCTGCTGAATCAAAAGAAAGTTTGATTTTCTGAGATGAATCCACACATCTAAAGTAGTTCCACAGATATCGTCTTTCTAGTTTTTAGTTGGGGATATTCTGCTTTTCTCCACAGTCCTCAATAGGCTCCCAATTTTCCCTTTGCATGTTCTCCAAATAGAGTGTTTCCAACCTGCTGAATCAAAAGAAAGGTTTAACTCTGTGAGATGAATCTTCACATTAAAAGTAGGTTAACAGGTAGCTTCTTTCTTGTTTTTATTTGTGGATATTCTCTTTTTCTTTGTCATCAATGGGCTCCAAAGTGTCCCTTCGCAGATTCCACAGGAGAAGTGTTTCCAATCTGCTAAATCAAAAGAAAGGTTTAACTCTCTGACATGAACACACACATCACAAAGTAGTTTCACAGATAGCTTCTTTTTAATTTTTATCTGACAATACTTGGTTTTTCCCCATAGAACTCAATGGGTCCCCAAGTGTCCGTTCTCAGATTCTCCAAAAGGAGTATTTCCCCAGTGATGAATCAAAAGACAGTTTAAACTCTGTGAGGTGAATGCACACATCACAGAGAAGTTCCACAGATAGCTTTCTTCTAGTTTTTATCTTGGGATATTTGGTTTTGCACCGTAGGCCTCAACGGGCTCCTAATGTCCCTTTGCAGGTTCTCCAAAAAGAGTGTTTCCAACCTGCTGGATGAAAATAAAATTCTAACCCTGTGAGATGAATTTACACAACACAAGCAGTTTCACAGATAGCTTCTTTCTGGTTTTTTTCTGGAAATATTCTGTTTCTCCCCTTAGGCTTCAATGGGCTCCAAAATGGCCTTTCTCAGATTCTCCAAAAAGAGTGTCACCAACCTGCTGAAGCAAAATAAAGATTTAAGTTTGTGAGATGATTTGACACGTAACAAAGCAGTTTCACGATATCTTCTTTCTAGTTTTTATCTGGGGATATTCAGTTTTTCTCCATAGAACAAAATGGGCTAACAAATGTCCCTTCAAAGATTCTCCAAAGTGAGTGTTTCCAACCTGCTGAATCAAAAGGTTTACCTCTGTGACATGAATCCACCTATCACAAAATATTTCACAGATAACTTCTTTCTCATTTTTATCTGGGGATATTCAGTTTTTCCCCACAAGCCTCAGTGGGCTCCCAAATGTCCCTTCACAGATGATCCAAAAAGAATGTTTCTAACCTACTGAATCAAAAGAAAAGTTTAACTCTGTGAGATGAATGCACACATCCAAAGCAGTTTCACAGTTAGCTTCTTTCTAGGTTTTATCAGGGGATATTCAGTTTCATGCAATATTCTTCAATGGGCTCCAGAATGTCCCTTTGTTAATTCTCCAAAAAAGTGTTTTTAACCCCCTGAATCAAAAGAATAGTTTCAATCTGTGAGATGAATCCACATATCAAAAATTAGCTTCACAGATAACTTCTTTGTACTTTTCATCTGGGGATATTCTGTTTATCCCCATAGCCCTCAATGAGCTCCCAAATGTTCATTCACAGATTTCAAAAAGGAGTGTTTTCATCCTCCTGAATGACAAGAAACATTTAACTCTGTGAGATGAATCCACACATCACAAAGCATTTTCACAGATAGCTTCTTTCTAGTTTTTATCTGGGGAGAGTCTGTGTGTCCTCATAGTCCTCAAAAGGTTCCCAAATATTTCTTCACAGATTCTCCAAAAAGAGTGTTTCCAAGCTACTGAATAAAAAGACATGTGTAACTCTGTAACTCAAATCCACACTTAAAAAAAAGCAGTGACACAGATAGATTATTTCCGTTTTTTTTTTCCTGTGGATATTCTGTTTTTTTCCATAATCCTGGATAGGTTCCCAAATGTCCCTTCACAGATTCACAAAAAGAGTCTTTCCACCTTGCTGAATCAAAAGAAAAGGTAAAGTCTCTGAGATGAATCCACACATCACAAAACAGTTTCATAGACATCTTCCTTCTAGTTTTTATCAGGGGGTACTCAGTTTTTTCCTGTGGGCCTCAATGGGCTTCCAAATATCCCTTCACAGATTTTACCAAAAGAGATGTTCTAACCTGTAGAATCAAAAGAAAGTTTTACCTCTGTGAGATGAATCCACACATCACAAAGCAATTTCACAGATAACTTCATTCTAGTTTTTATCTGGAGATATTCAGTTTTTCTCATTAGGCCTCAATGGGCACGAAAAAGTCCCCAGGCAGATTCTCCAGAAGGAAAACTTCCAACCTGCTGAATTAAAAAAAAAAGAGTTTAACTCTGTCAGACGAATCCGCATATCACAAAGCCATTTCACAAATAGCTCCTTTCTATTTTTTATCTGAATTTATTGTTTTTCCCCATAGGCCTCAATGGGTTATTAATTGTCCTTTAGCAGTTTCTCCAAAACGGTGTTTCCAACCTGCTGAATCACAAAGAAGGTTTCACTCTGTGAGATGAATCCACACATCACAAAGCATTTTATGGATAGATTCTTTCTAGTTTTTATCTTGGGGTATTTCATTTTTCCCCATAGGCCTCAATGCTTTCCAAAATGTTCCATTGCATATTCTCCAAAAACTGTGTTTCCAGCCTGCTGAATGAAAAGAAAGGTTTAATCCTGTTAGCTGAATCCACACATTGCAAAGTAGTTTCACAGATAGTTTCTTTGCAGTGTTTATTTGGAGATACTCTGTTTTTCCCCATAGGCCTCAAAGGGCTTCCAAATCTCCCTTTGAAGATTCTTTAAAAAGAGTATTTCCAACATGCTGATCAAAGGAAAAGTTTACCTCTCAGATGAATCCTCACATCACAAAGCAGTTTCATACTTAGCTTCTTTGTAGATTTTATCTGGGCACATTTGTTTTTCCCATGTAGGCCAAAATGGGTTCCCAAAAGTCTTTTCTCAGATTCTCCAAAAACGGTATTACTAAACTGCTGAATCAAAAGAAAGACTTAACCATGATTGATGAATCACACATCACAAATCAGTTTCACACATATTTTGTTTCTAATTTTTATCTGGGGAAAATTCTGGTTTTCCCCATAGGCCTCAAAGGGCCCCCAATTGTTTTCTCACAGATTCTCCAAAAAGAGTGTTTCCAACCTGCTGAATCAAAAGAAATTTTTAACTCTGTGAGATGAATAGACACATCACAAAGCAGTTTCACCGATAGGTTCTTAGTATTTTTTATCTGGTGATATTCAGTTTTTCCCCATAGGCCTCAAAGGACTCCTAAATGTCCCTTCACAGATTCTACAAAAAGAGTTTTTTTCAAACTACTGATTCAAAAGAAAGTTTTTTCTTGGTGCAAAGAATCCACAGATCACAAAGTAGTTTCATAGATAGCTTCTTTCTAGTTTTTATTTGAGGTATTCTGTTTTCCCAGTAGGACTCAATGGGCTCCTAAATGTCCCCTCACAGATTCTTCAAAGAACATTTGCAATTTTGTGAATCATAAGAAAGATTTAATGCTGTGAGATTAATCCACACGTCACAAAGCCTTTTCACAGATAACCTCCTTCTAGTTTTTATCTGGGGCTATTCAGTTTTTGCCCAGAGGCCTCAGCGGGTTACAATTTGTCCCTTCGCAGATTCTCCAAAAGAGTGTTTCCAACCTGCTGAATCAAAAGAATGTTTTAACACTGTGAAATAAATCCACACATCACAAAGCAGTTTCCCAGACAGCTTACTTCTACTTTTATTTGTGGATATTCTGTTTTTCCCCATATGCCACAAAGGGCTCCCAAATGTCCCATGGCATATTTTTCCAGGAAGAGTGTTTCCAACCTGCTGAATCAAAAAAAGTTTTCCTCTGTGAGATGAATCCACACATCACATAGCAGTTTCCCAGACAGCTTCTTTCTAGTATTTATCTGGGATTATTCTGTTTTTTTCCATAGGCCTCAATGGGCTACAAAATGTCTTGTTGCATATTTTCCAAAAAGAGTGTTTTTAACCTGTGAAATCATAAGAAATGTTTAACTCTGTGAGAGAAGTCCACACACCTCAAAGCAGTTTCACAGATAACTTCTTTCTAATAATTATCTGGGGATATTCCATTTTTTTCCATATGCCTCAATGGGCTCCCAAGAGTCCATTTGCAAATTCTGTAAAAAGAGTGTCTCCAACCTGCTGAGTAAGAAGAAAACTTTAACTCTGTAAGATGAATCCTCACAACATGAAACAGTTTCACAGATGGCTTCTTTCTTGTTTTTACCTTAGGATATTCTGTTGTTTTCCCTAGATGTCAATGTGCTCCCAAATGTGTCTTTGTAGATTCTCAAAATGAGTGTTTCCATCATGCTGAATCAAATAAAAGTTTATCACTGTGAGATGAATCCACCCATCACAAAGCAGTTTCAGAGATAGCTTCCTTGTACTTTTTATCTGGAGATACTCTGTTTTTCCTTGTATTCCTCAAACAACTCCCAAACGTCCCTTCACACATTCTACATAAAAAGTGTTTCCAACCCGAAGAATAAAAAGAAAACGTTAACACTGTGAAATGAATCCACAAATCACAAAGCAGTTTCAAAAATATCTTCTTTCTAGTTTTTACCTGAAGATATTCTGTTGTTCCTTTTAGGCCACAATGGGCTCCAAAAATGTCCCTTCACAGATTCTCCAAAAAGAAAGTCTCCAACCTGCTGAATAAAAAGTATGTTTTAACTTCACACATCACAAAGACGTTTCACAGTTAGCTTCCTTTTAGTTTTCACCTGGGAATATCCAGTTTTTCCCCTAGGCCTCAGTGGGTTAAAAATTGCCCCTTCACAGATTCTCCAAAAGAGTGTTTGCAATCTGTTGAATCAAAGAAAACCTTTAATTCTGCGAGATGAATCTACCCATCACAAAGCAGCTTCACAGATAGCTTATTTCAAGTTTTTATCTGGGGATATTCAGTTTTTCCTCATAGGCCTCAGTGGGCTCCCAAATGTAGCATCACTTATCCTCCAAAAGAGTGTTCTCCACCTGCTCAATCAAAAGAACGTTGTAACTTTTTGAGATGAATCCACCCATCACAAAGAAGTTTCACAGATAACTTATTTGTGATTTTTATCTGTGGACATTCTGTATTACCCCCAAAGCCATCCATGTACTCTCAAATATTTCTTCACAGATTCTCCAAAAAGAGTGTTTCAAACCTGCTGAATCCAAAGAAAGGTTCAACTCTGTGAGATGAATCTATACATCTCAAAGCAGTTTTACAGATAGTGCCTTTTTAGTTTTTATCTGGGTATATTTAGTTTTTACTGGATAGCCTCAATGGGCTTCAAAATATGTCTTTGCAGATTCTCCAAAAAGAGTGTTTACCTTCTGCTGAATCAAAAGAAAAAAAATAGCTCAGTGAGATGAATCCACACATCAAAAAGCAGTTTCATAGACAGCTTCCTTCTAGTTTTTATTTGAGGAGATTTGTTTTTTCTTTTTTTCCATAGGCATAAATGGGCTCCCAAATGTCCCTTCACAGATTCTGCAAAAAGGTCTTCTGAATCTGATGAATCAAAAGGAAAATTATCCACTCTAAGATGAATCCAAACATCACAAAGCCATTTCACAGATACCTTCTTATATGTTTATCTGGGGTTATTCAATTTTTCCCCATAAGCCTCAATGGGTGATCAAATGTCCCTTCACAGATTCGCCAAAAAGAGCGTTTTTAACATGCTGAATCAGAAGAAAGTTTTAACATTGCGAGATGAATACACACATTACAAAGCAGTTTCACAGATCACTTCTTTCTAGTTTGTATCGGGATTTTCAGTTTTTCCCAGAAATCCTCAATGGGTTCCCAAATGTCCCTTTGCATAGTCTCAAAAAATAGTGTGTCCATCCTGCTAAATCAAAAGAAAATTTTAGACTGTGAGATAAATCCAAACATCACAAAGCACAGTCACAAATAGCTTCTTTCTAATTTTTATCTGGGGATATTCACTTTTTTCCCCATAGGTTTCAATGATTGTTGCAATGTCCCTTGGTGGATTCTCTAAAAAGAGTGTTTCCATCCTGCTGAATCAAAAGAAAGGTTTAACTCTGTGATATGAATCCACGCATAACAAGACACTTTCACAGGCAGCTTCTTTTTGGTTTATATCTGGGGATAAGCAGTTTTTCCTCATATGCCTCACTGGGTCCCCAAATGTCCCAAATGTCACAAATCACAAAGCCATTCCACAAATATCTCCTTTCTAATTTTTATTGGGAAGATTCTGTTTTCTCCCATAAGCCTCAATGTGCTCCCAAATGTCATTTCACAGATGCTAGAAAAAGAGTGTTTCCATCCTCTAAATAAAAGAAAGTTTTAATTCTGTGTGATGAATCCACACATCACAAGGCAGTTTCACAGACAGCTTCATTCCAATATTTATCTGGGGATATTCAATTTTTTCAAATAGGTCTCAAATGCCTACCACATTTCCCTTTGCAGATTCTATAAAAGTGTGTTTCCAATCTGTTGAATCAAAGGAAAGGTTTAAATTTATAAGATGAATCCACAAATCACAAAGCATTTTCATAGATACCTTCTTTCTAGTTTTTATCAGGGGATATTCGGTTTTTCCACAAACATCAATGGGCTCCCAAATGTTTCTTGGAAAATTCTCCAAAAGACTATTTCCAACCTGTTGAATCAAAATAAATGTTTATTTCTGTAGCTGAATCCAAATATCACAAAGCAGTTTCACAGACAGCTTCTTTCTAGTTTTTATCTGGGAATATTCAGTTTTTGGGGGCTACACTTCAATGTCTCTTCGCAGAGTGTACAATAAGAGTGTTTTCAACTGGCTGAATCAAAAGAAAGGATTCAGTCTGTGAGATGAGTCCACACAACGCTAAGCAGTTTCATAGGGAAATTCTTTTTAGTTTTTGTTAGGGTATATTCAGTTTTTCCCCATAGGTGTTAATGGGCACCAAAATGTCCCTTCACAGATTCTCCAAAAACAATGTTTCCAACCAGCTGAATCAAAAGAAATGTTTGAATCTGTGAGACGAATCTACACATTACAAAGTAGTTTTAAGGTAAATTCTTTCTAGTTTTTATTTAGGCTATTCCTTTTTTCCCCCATTGGCCACAATGGTTTCCCAAATGTCTCTTCACAGATTCTACAAAAAGAGTGTTTTCAACACGCTAAACCAAAAGAAAGGTTTAAAACTGTGAGATTAATCCACACACCACAAAGCCATTTCACAGATAGATTCTTTCCAGTTTATATCTGAAGATATTTGAATTTTTCCCTGTAAGCCTATTGTGGCTCCCAAATGTCCCTTTGCATGTTCTCCACAGTGTTGCCAGCCTGCTGAATCAAAAGTAGGGTTCAACTCTGTGAGATGAATACATGAATCACAAAGTAGAATTTTAATGTGGGTATACTTCTTTTTTTCCCTTAGGCCTCAATGAGGTCTGAAATATGCCTTCATAAATTCTATAAAAAGAGTATGTATAATCTGCTGAATTAAAAGAAGGATTTAACTCTTTGAGATGAATCCACACATCCCAAAGCAGTTTGTAAGAGAGCTTCTTTCTAGTTCTTATCTGGGCATATTCAGTTATTCTTCATAGGCTTCAACAGGCTCCCAAATGTCCCATCACAGATTCTTCAAAAAGAGTGTTTCCAACCTGCTTGACCAAAAGCAATCTTTAACTCTGTGAGATGAATCCACACATCTCATAGCAGCTTTAATGATTAATACTTTCTAGTTTTTATCTGTGGATGTTCAGATTTTTCCCATAAGCTTCAATGGGCTACAAAATGTCCCTTCGCAGAAGCTCCAAAAACAGTGTTTCCAACCTGCTGAATAAAAAGAATGGTGTAACTCTGTGAGATGAATTCACACATCACAAAGCAGTTTCACAGACAGTTTCCTTTTAGTCTTTATCTGGGGATATTCTGTTTTTTCCTGATAGGCCTCAATGGGATCCCAAATGCCCTTTTGCAGATCCTGCAAAAAGAGTTTTTCCAACCTGCTGAATCAAAAGAAATGTTTAACTGTGTGAGATGAATGCACACTTCTAAAAGTAGATTCACAGATAAATTATTTCTAGTTCTTATCTTGGGATATTTTTTTCCCCTATGCCTCTATAGTCTCCAAAATGTCCCTTTTCAGACACTACAAAAAGAGTGTTTGTAATCGGTGGAATCAAAGAAAAGTTTTAAATCTGTAAGATGAATCCATACATCACAAAGCAGTTTCACACATAGCTTCTTTCCAGTTTTCATCTGGGGATATTTGGATTATCTCCATAGGACTCAATGGGGTTCTAAATGTCCATTCACAGAATCTTTAAAAAGAGTTTTTCCAACCAGCTCTTTCAAAAGAATGGTTTAAATCTGTTATATTAATCTGCACTTCACAAATCTTTTACAAAAAGCCTCCTTCTAATTTTTATCTGGGAATTTTCATCTTTTCCCCTTATGCCTCAATTGTCTCACATAATTTTTTGCACATAATTCAAAAAAGTGTTTATAACCTTTTGAAAGAAAAAAAAAGGTTTAACTTTGTGAGATGAATCCACACTTCACTAAGCAGTTTCACAGATAACTTCTTTCTAGTTTTTATCTGGGGATATTCAGTTTTTCCCCATAGGACCCAATGGGCTCCCAATGTCTCTATGCAGATTCTCCAAAAAGAGTGTTTACAACCTGATGAATGAAAACAAAGGTTTAAATCTGTGAACAGAATCCACAGATCACAAAGCAGTTTAACAGAGAGCTTCTTTCTACTTTTTATCTGGGGATACTCACCTTTTCCCCATAGGTTAAACAGGGCTGTCAAATGTCCCTTTGCTGATTCACCAAGACAGTGATTCTAACCTGCTGAAAGAATAAATCCATGCATCAAAAGCAGTTGCACAGATTGCTTCTTTCTAATTTTTATCTGGTAATATTTGTTTTTTCCCCACAGGCCAAAATGGGCTCCCAAATGTCCCCCAGATTTCTCCAAAAAGAGTGATGCCAACCAGATGAATCAAAAGAAAGGTTTATCTCTGCATGATGAATCCACACATCACAAAACAGTTTCACAGATAGCTTCTTTCTAGTTTTTATCTGGGGATTCTCAGCTTTTCCCCATAGGCATCAATGGGCTCCCAAATGTCCCTTCACAGATTCTCCAAAAAGAGTGATCCCAACTGGCTGAATCAAAAGAAAGTTTTATCTCTGTATGATAAATGCACACATCACACCTGCTGAATCAAAAGAAAGATTTAACCCTGTGAGACCAACACACATCACAAAGCAGTTACACAAATAGCTTCTTTCTTGTTTTTATGTGGTTTATTTTGTTTTTTCCATAGGCCTCAAAGGGCTCTCAAATGTCACATCATAGAATCTGCAAAATGAGATTCTGCTGAATTAAAAGAAATATTTAACCCTGTGAGATGAATCCACACATCTCAAAGCAGTTTCTCAGATACCTTCTTCCTAGTTCTTATCTGGGGATATTCCATTTTTCTTCATAGGCCTCAATAGGATCCCAAATGTCCCTTTGCAAATTCTCCAAAAACAGTGTGTCCAACCTGTTGAATAAAAAGAAAGTTTTAATTCTGTGATATTAATCCACACATCACAAAGAAGTTTCATGGATAGCTTCTTAGTAGTTTTTATCTGGGATGTTCAAATTTTCCCCACAAGGCACAATGGACTCACAAGTGTCCACTCGCAGAACCACCAAAAAGAGAGTTTCCAATGTAGTGAATGAAAAGAAAGATTTACCACTTTGCAATGAATCCAAACATCACAAAACAGTTTCAAAAATAACATTTTCTTTGTTTTTATCTGGGGATATTCACTTTTACCCATAGGCCTCAATTGGCTTCCAAATTTCCCTTCACAGATTTTACAAAAATAGTGTGTCCAAGCTACAGAATCAAGAGAATGGTTTACTTTGTGAGAGGAATCCACACATCATAAAGCAGTTTCATGGATAGCTTCTTTCTAGTTTTAATGTGTGGATATTTGGTTTTTCCCCGTTGGCTTCAATTGGCTCCCATTTGTCCCTTTGCAGATTCTCCAGAAAGACTGTTTCCAGCCTGGTAAACCAAAGAATGGTTGAACACTGTGAGGTGAATCCACACATCAAAAACCAATTTCATGGATAGCCTCTTTCTAGTTTTATCTTGGGATATTCCGTTTTGCACTGTAGGACTCATTAGGCTTCCAAATGTCCCTTTGCAGATTATCCAAAAACAGTTTTTTGACCTTCTGAATCAAAAGAAATGTTTAACTCTGTGAGTTGAATCCACACATCCCAAAGCAGTTCCACAAAGAGCTTCTTTCTCGTTTTCATCTGGGGATATTCTGTTTTTGTCTAGGCCTCTAAAGGCTTTAAAATGTACCTTCGCAGATTCTCCAAAAAGAGTGTTTCCAACCTGCTGAAACAAAAGAAAGTTCTTACTCTGTGAGGTTAATCCACACATTTCAAAGCAGTTTTACAGTTAGCTTCTTTTTAGTTTGTATCTAGGGATATTCGATATTTCCTCATCAGATTCAAAAGGTTCCAAACTGCCCCATGGCAGATTCTACAAAAAGAGAGGGTTTCCAACCTGCTGATTCAAAAGTAAGGTTTAACCCTGTGAGAAGAATCTACACATCACAAAACAGATGCACAGATAGCTCTTTTCTAGTTTTTATCTTGGGATATTCAGTTTTTCCCCATAGTCCTCAATGGGCTCCCAAATATCTCCCTGCTGATTCTCAAAAAAGAGAATTTCCAAGCTGATGAATAAAAAGAAAAATTTAGCTCTGTGTGAGGAATCCAAACTTCATGAAAGAATTTCACCAATAGGTTATTTCTGGCTTTTATCTGCAAATATTCTGTTTTTCCCTGTAGGCCTCAAAAAGCTTCAAAACTTTCATTCACACATTTTACAAGAATAGTTTTTGCCACGTGATGAATCAAAAGAAAGGTTTAACTCTGTGAGAGGAATCCATACATCAGAAAGCAGTTTCACACAGGGCTTCTTTCCAGTTTTTATCTGGGGATATTCAGTTTTTCCCCACAGGCCCCACTGGGATCACAAATGTTCCTTTGCAGATTCTCCAGAAAGAGTGTTTCCAATGTCCTGAATCTAAAGAAAGGTTTAACTCTATGAGATGAATCCAAACATCACAAAGCTCCTTCACAGATAACTTCTTTCTAGTTTTTATCAGGAGATTTTTTTTTCCCCCATAGGTCTCAATGGGCTCCCATGTGTCCTTCCACAGATTCTCCAAAAAGAGGGTTTCCAACCTGCAGGACTTAATATGCTCCCAAATGTACCTTCACAGATTCTCTAATAAGATGTTTCCAACCCACTGAATCAAAAGAAAGGTTTAACTCTTTGAGATTAATCCAAGTAAAACAAAACAGTTTAACAGGTAGCTTTATTTTTGTTTTTGTTTTTTTTTTTTCTTAAAACATCACAAAGAAATTGCACTGAGAGTCTCTGTCTAGATTTGTGTGAGGATATTCATTTTTTTTCAAGTATACCAATATGGACTCCAAAATGTCTAGTCCCAGATTCTCCAAAAAAAAGTGTTTCCAACCTCCTGAGTCAAAAGAAAGGTTTAACTCCGTGAGATGAATGCACACATCAAAAACAGTTCTACAGATAACTTCTTTCTAGTTTTTATCTGGGATATTCTGTTTTTCCCCATAGGCCTCAATGGGCTCACAAAGGTCCCTTCACAATACTACAAAAAGAGTGTTTCCAACGTACTGACTCAAAAAATGTTTTAACTCTGTGGGATAATTCCACACATCACAAAGCAATTTCACAGATACATTCTTTACAGTTTTTACCTGGGGATATTCAGTTGTACTGCATAGGCCTCAATCTGCTCTAAAATGTACCTTTGCAGATTCACCAAAAAGTGTGTTTCCAACCTGCTGAATCAAATAAAGTTTTAACTCTGTGAGATGAATCCACACATCACAAAGCAGTTTCACTGATAACTTCATTCTAGATTTTATCTGGGGATATGCAATTTTAAACATAAACCTCGATGGAGTCCAAAATTTCCCTTCACCGTTTTACAGAACTGATGTTTCCAACCTGCTGAATCACAAAAATGTGTTAACACTCTGAGATAAATCGACACATCAAAAAAGAGTTTCACAGATAGCTTCTTTCTAGTTTCTATCTGGGGATATCCTGTTTTTCCCCATGGACCTCAATGAGCTGCCAAGTGTCCCTTTGCAGATTCTCCAAAAGTGTGTTTCCAACCCGCTGAATCAAAACAAAGGTTTAACTCTGTGAGATGAATCCACACATCACAAAGGAGTTTCACAGATAGCTTCTTTCTACTTTTTATCTTTGGATATTGGTTTTGCCTTTTACACACCCATGGACTCCCAAATATTTATTCAAAGATTCTCCAAAAACAGTGTTTCCAACCTGCTGAATCAAAAGAAAGGTTCAACTCTGTGAGGTGAAATCCACACATCACAGGCAATTTTACAAATAGCTTCATTTTAGTTTTATCTGGTGTATTTTGTTTTTCCATATAGGTCTCATTGGGTTCCCAAATGTCCCCTCACAGATATTCCAAAAAAAGTATTTATCTTCTGCTTAATCAAGATAAAGTTTTAACTCTGTGAGATGAATCAACATGTCAAAAATCAGTTTCACAGATAGCTTCTTTCTAGTTTTTATCACTTAGCAGAGACTCCAAAAAGAGTGTTTCCAACCTGCTGAATCAAAAAAGGTGTAACACTGTCAGAAGATTCCACACATCCCAAAGCAGTTTCACAGACAATTTCATTCTAGTTTTTATCTGGGGATATTCAGTTTTTCCCCTTAGGCCTCAATGACCCCCTAATGTCCCTTCACATATTCTCCAAAAAGAGTGTTTCCAACCTAGTGATTAAAAATAAAACTTTAACTCTCAGAGAGGAATTCACACATCACAAAGAAGTTTCATAGATAGCTTCTTACTAGTTTTTCCTTGAAGATATTTGTTCTTTTCCTAGGTCTCAATGGGCTTCCAAATGTCCCTTCACAGATTCTGTAAAACAAGGGTTTCCAAGCTGCTGAATGAAAAGAAAGTTTTAACTCTGTGAGATGAATCCACAAATCCCAAGGTAGTTTCACAGAAAACTTCATTATAGTTTTTGTCTGTGTATATTGGTTTTTCCCTTAGGGCTCAATGAGCCAAAAAATTTTCCTTCACAGATTCTACAAAAATACTGTTTCAAGCCTGCTAGATGAAAAAAAAGTATTAACTGTGTCAGAAAAATCCACACATCACAAAGCAGTTTCACAGATAGCTTCTTTCTAGTTTTTATCTGGGGATAATAAGTTTTTCCTTATAGGCCACAATAGGTTGCAAAATGTTCACTTGCAAATTCTCCAAAAAGAGCGTTTACAACCTGTTGAATTATAACAATGGTTTAACTCTGTGAGATGAATCCACACATCACAAAGCAGTTTCAAAATTTTATCTGGGGATATTTAGTTTTTCCCCTTAGCCCTCAATGGGCTCCTAAGTTTTTTTTCACAGATTCTGGAAAAGGAGTGCTTCCAACCTGGTGAATGAAAAGGAAGAATTAATCCTGTGAGAAGAATCCACACATCCTGAAGCAGTGTCACAGATAGCTTCTTTTGAATTTTTATCTGGGGATATTATGTGTTTCCCCATTGGCTTCAATGGGCTCTCATATATCTCCTCGCAGATTCTTCAAAAATAGTATTTCCAACTTGCTGCATCAACAGGAAAGAATTTATCTCCGGGAGAGGAAAGCACACATCGCAAAGCAGTTTCTCTGATAGCTTCTTTTTGGTTATTATTTGGGTATATCCCGTTTTTCCCCATAGCAATCAATGGTTTCACAAAAGTTCGTTTGCATATTCTACAAAAGAGTGTTTCCAACCTGCTGAATCAGAAAAACGTTTAACTCTCTGTGATAAATCCACACATCACAAAGCAGTTTCACAGATAGCTCCTTTCTAGTGATTATCTGGGGATATTCCATTTTTCACCATAGGTCTCAAACTACTCCCAAATGTCCCTTCACAGATTCTGCTAAAAAAGTTTTTCCAACCTGCTGAATCATAAGAAACGTTTAACTCTGTGAGATGAATTGACACAACACAAAGCAGTTTCACAGATAGCTTCTCTATAGTTTTTACCTGGAAATATTCAGTTTTTATCCGTTGGCCACAATGGGCTCCAAAATTTCCCTTAGCAGATTCTCTAAAATGAGCGTTTCCAACCTGCTGAATCAAAAGAAAGTCTTATTTCTGTGAGATGAATCCACACATCCCAAAGTGATTTCACAGATAGATTCTCTCTAAGTTTTATCTTGGGTTCTTCAGTTTTTCCCAATGGGCTCCTAAGTGTTCCTTTGCAGATTCTCCAAAAAGGGTGTTTCCTACTGTCGGATCAGAAGAAAGCTTTAACCCTGTAGGATGAATCTCCACAACACAAAGCAGTTTCACAGATAGCATCTTTCTAGTTTTTAACTGGGAATATTAGGTTTTTCCCCAGAGGCTTCTATGACTACCAAAATGTCACTTCTCAGATTCTCCAGAAAGATCGTTTCCAAATTGATGAATATAAGGAAAGGTTTAACTCAGTGGGATAAATTCACACATCACAAAGCATTTTCACCAATAGCTTCCTTGTAGTTTTTATCCGGGTTTATTCAGTTTATCCTCATGTGCCTCAATGGGCTCCCTAATGTCCCTCTGCAGATTCTCCAAAAAAGAGTGTTTCCAAAGTGCTTAATCAAAAATAAGGTTTAACTCTGTAAGATACATCCACACATCACCAAGCAGTTTCACAGATAGTTTTTTTCAAGTTTTTATCTGGGAATATTCAGTTTATCCTTATAGTTCTTAATAGGCTCTTAAATTTCTCTTTGCAGATTCTCCAAAAAGAGTGTTTACAGGCCAGGTGAGGTGGCTCATGCCTGTAATCCTAGCACTTTAGGAGGCCAAGGTGGGTGGATCATGAGGTCAGGAGATCGAGGTCATCCTGGCTAACATGGTGAAACCACGTCTCTACTAAAAATACAAAAAAATAGCCAGGTGCAGTGGTGGGTGACTGTAGTCCCAGCTACTCAGGAGGCTGAGGCCAGAGAATGGCGTGAACCCAGGAGGAGGAGCTTGCAGTGAGCCAAGATAGCACCACTGAACTCCGGCTTGGGAGAAAGAGCAAGACTCTGTCTCAAAAAAAAAAAAAAAAAAAAAGAGTGTTTCCAAACTGCTGAATCCAAAAAATTTACCTCTTTGAGATGAATCCACACATCACAAAGAAGTTTCACAGATAGTTTCTTTCTAGTTTTTGTCTGGGTATATTTGTTTTTTCCCAATGGCGTCAATGGGCTCCAAAATGTCCCTTCACAAATTCTACAAAAAGAGTGTTTGCAACCTGCTGAATAAAAAAAAAAAAAAAAAAAGCTTTAATCCTGTAAGATGAATCCATATATCACAAAGCTGTTTCACAGATGGCTCTTCCTAGTTTTTATGTGAGGATATTTTGTTTTTTGCCATAGGCGTTAAACATCTCCCTAGTATTTATTTGCATATTCTCTAAAAAGAGTGGTTTCAATATGCTGAATCAAAAGAAAGATTTGACTCTGTGAGATGAATCCACGTATTACATAGTAGTTTCACAGATAGCTTCCTTCTAGTTTTTATCTGTGGATATCCTGTTTTTACCCATAGGCCTTGATGGGCTCTCAAATGTTCCTTCAATGTTTCTCCAAAAATAGTGTTTCCAACATGCTGGATCAAAAGAATAGGTTACCTCTGTGAGAGGAATCGACACAACACAATGTTGGGAGAAAAGCTGAGTGTTGGGAGAGAAGCTGAGGCAGGCCTTGCATGTCTCCTAGGCTTGCTTGCTCCTTGCCTTTTGCACTCCCATTATCTCAAGCAGAAATATGTTACTCATTCAGATGATATGCTGTTTCATTTCAACCCCCACTTCTTCACAACCTGTTGGTTTGTTTGTGCACCAGTCAATAGTTTGGACTCCCAGAGCTCGGGGCCTTTGCAGCCTTTGCACTCACAATAGCCCCCTTGTCACACTTTGTGTCTCAAACTGTCTTTCTCTCATTTATTTGACTCTGCCAGACGTCGCCACCCCCATGGCCTGGTTTTGGGTCTGATCATCCCAGCATCCCTGCCTAAGAAAAGTGGGGTGACAAAGACCCCGATGAAGGAATGCTAGAGAGTGTGAAAGCAGAGGACACATCTTCAAAGGACACCTGAAGACATCTAACAGAAGCCCCGTGGTAAGCTGAGCACTTGGAAGAATTTGGGTATAAATGGGAGAAGGTGAAAGCAGACATTCTGCTTATTTAAATATCTTAAGACATTTATTACGAAGAGGAGGAGAGAAAGTTAGTAATCAGAACTTTTTATCACTCTTTAGTACAGTAAAGCAGTTTTGCCAATGGTTTCCTGAACAAGAGAAAATGGAGTTGGATGAATGGGAGAGAATTGTAAGATATTTTAAAGAAGCGTATAAAGATGGAGCAGAAATTCCAGTTTCCATTTGGTCAATGTGGGCACTAATAAAAACAGCTCTTGAGCCATTTCAAACAGATGATGAGGTAGATTCCAATGAGCAAGAGGAGGATGAGTGTAAAAAACTGACTTCAGGCTCTGAGCATGAGGAACAGATACTGGAGGAGATTAAAGAAAAGAAAGGCAAACTAAAAAAAAAGCTTATTTTACTAGCCTGTCAGCTACATCCAGTGAATTAATTGAATGGCCACTTGCTCTCTTTCCCCTTAATGGGTGAGAAAATAAATTAGCTGAAAAACTTACTGCTCCATTAGTTAACAAAATTAATGAGATATGATCCAAATCAGATTATAGTTCCATTAACAAAACAAAAAATTCAACAAGCCTATATTAATTCCCAAGAAAGTCTGCTTAATTTGGCTGGTTTTGTTGGCATTTTTCATAGTCATTATCCTAAGTGTAAAATCTTCCAGTTTCTAAAATAAACATCCTGGATATTGCCTTCTATTACTCAAAAAGCCCCTGTTGAAGGGGTCATTATTGTTTTTTTCTGATGGATTTGTAGGTCTTCCACAGCAATATGTTTGTTTTGCATATATATGTCTTCGAAAAATACATGATCTATCATGAAAACTAGCTAAAGAAATTGTGCAACACTTTTCTGCCTGCCAAGTCCTGCATCTGCCACATCAGTGAACAGGAGTTAACCCTAGAGGTTTATCTCCAAATTCCATGTGGCAGATGGATGGTACACATATTCTTGCTTTTGGAAAATTGTCCTTTGTTCACGTTTCAGTAGATACCTATTCACATTTTATTTGGGCCACATGTCAAACAGGGAAAGCCACAGCTCATGTTAAAAGACACCTTTTATCTTGCTTTTCAGTTATAGGAATCCCAGAAAAAAATCAAAACCAATAATGGCCCAGGATACTGTAGTAAACCATGGCTACATTTTTTCAACAGTGGAATATTACCCATATTATAGGTATTCTATATAACTTACAAGGACAAGCAATAGTGGAAAGAGTAATACTGCTTTAAAAACTCAAATACAACAGCAAAAGTGAGGGGACCAGGAATATAAGACACCACATATGCAATTGCATTTAGCTTTATTAACATTATTTTTTTCTTATTTTCAAAAAGGTCAACCCATGACTGCAGCTGAACAACACCTGACAGAATGAAAGGAAAATAAAAAGGCTGGACAAGATATATGGTGGAGTTATGCATATACGAAGAGCTGGGAAAAAGGAAAGATAATTTTATGAGGAAGAGGATTTGTTTGTGTCTCTCCAGGTGATAATCAGGTGCCTGTATGGGTGCCCATCCAACATCTGAAAATCTATCAGGAGCCACAGCATCTAGTGGACCCAACTGTACAGGGCAAATAGGAGGTTTAATGATTGCTTTTAAGCCTTGATTTGGTTTCTCTGTGCCTTCTGTTAGAAGGGGCCTGCTTCTCATTATCAATGGTAAGTCTTACCCTGCAGTAATTAACCAAAGAGGCAGAAGCTGAGTTACAAATGCTTCAGCAATGGCATGCCTCCAGGCTACAGCCAGCAAAGCTTTTGCTTTTGTTTCAGTAGATTTACTAACGTGAGGGTGAGGGTATGCTTGTGTTTTTGCAGAAGATAAACAAACCATGTAGATGCCCTCAAGACGTGTATGACCATGGAACAGGAGACTGGAAGGACCCATGGATCCCAACCATGGACCGGGTTTCCCCAGTATGAGCCATGCTGAGAAACCACTGGAATGCAAGATTTTACCTGCAGACGCTTGACAGACCAATGCTTTCTTACTGAACTCCTCTCTACCCTGAATACAAGAGACACAAATATGTAGGCAGGAGTATCAATGCCCCTATTCAGCATGAAGAAGTTACAGAAGATGGACCTTCATCCTCCTGCAACCCCTAGGATTAAGGGTCCTCTTGTAAAAGGGAAAGGGGAGATATATAGGAAGCATTCAAACCAGAGACTCCATTTTGAATAAGGGCTAAGAAAAATGAAGCTGGATCATCAACTGGCAATTAAGGGCTGGACAGCCTGCAATTGTCTTACTCAATTAATTTAAAAACAAGGACACCTTATGATAATAATAATGACAGCTTTGGTAGTTTTTACAAAAACGAAGGGGGGCATGGTGGGAGAAAAGCTAAGTGTTGGGAGGAGCTGAGGCAGGGCTTGCATGTCTTTTTCTCATTCCATTCACTCTGACAGACGTCATCATGCCCACAATCTGGTGTTGGGTCTGATGAGTGCTACACACAAAGCAGTTTCACAGACAGATTCTTTCTAGGTTTTACCTGTAAATATTTGATTTTTCCCCATAGGCCTCAATGGAGTCTCAAATGTCCCTTCGCAGATTCTCCAAAAAGAGTGATTCCAACCTGCTGAATCAAAAGAAAATTTAAATCTGTGAGACGAATCAACACATCAGAAAGCAGTTTCACAGATAGCTTTTTTCTAGTTTTTATCTGGGGATATTTGTTTTTAATTATAGATGTCAATGGGCTCCCGAATGTCCCTTCACAGATTCTACAAAAATTATGTTTCCAATCTGCTGGATCAAAACAAAGGTTTAACTCTTTTGAGAGGAATCCACACATTCAAAGAAGTTTCACAGATACCTTTGTTCTAGTTTTCATCTGGGGATATTCGATTTTAACTTATAGGATTTAATCATCTCCCAAATGTCTTTTTGCAAACTCTCCAAAAAAGTGTTTCCAACCTGCTGAATCAAAAGAAAGGTTTAATTATGAGAGATGAATCCACACAGCTCAAAGCAGTTTCACAGATAGCTTCTTTCTTTTTTTAATCTGGTGATATTTGGTTTTTACCCATCAGCCTTAATGAGATCACATGTGTCCCTTTGCAAATTCTCCAAAAAGAGAGTTTTCAACTTGAGGAATCAAAAGAAAGATTTAACTCTGTGAGATGAATCCACACATAACAAAGCAGTTTCTCAGATTGTTCCTTTGTATTTTTCATCTGGAAATATTCGGTTTTTACATATAGGCCACGACAGGCTCCAAATTACCCCTTAGAAGATTCTGCAAAATAAGAGTTTCCAACCTGCTTGATGAAAAGAAAGTTTGAACTCTGTGAGATAAATCCACACATCACAGAGCAGTTCCCAGATAGATGCTTTCTAGTTTCTACCTGGGGATATTCTGTTTTACCTCATGGGACTCAAAGGGCTCCCAAATATCCCTTCAATAATTATCCAAAAAAAAAAAAAAGTGTTTCCAACTAGCTGAATCACAAGAAAGATTTAAATCTATGAGATGAATCCAAACAACACAAACCAGTTTCACTGGTAGTTTGTTGTTATTTTTTATCTAGGGATATTCACTTTTTACTCATAAGCCTCAATGACTCCCAAAAGTTTCCTTGCAGATTCTTCAAAATGTCTGTTTCCAACCTCCTGAATCAAAACAAAGTTTTACGTCTGTGTGATGAATCCACACATCACAAATGAGTTGCACAGATAGGTACTCTCTAGTTTTCATCTAGGGGTATTCGATTTTTCCAACAGGCCTCAATGGGATTGAAAACATCTTTTGCAGATTCTCTAAAAAAGCATATCCAACCTGCTGAATCGAAAGAAAGGGTAACCCTCTGAGATGAATCCTCCCATGACAAACCAGTTTCAAAGATAGCTTCTTTCTAGTTTTTATCCGGAGATATTCAGTTTTCCCCATAGGCCTCAATGGGCTCCCAAATGTCCCTTCACAGATTCTCCAAAAACAGTATTTCCAACCTGCTGAATCAAAAGAAAAGTTTAATTCTGTTAGATGAATCCACACATCACAAAGCCATTTCACAGATAATTTCTTTATAGGTTTTACCAGGGATATTTGCTTTTTTCTCATAGACCTCAATGGGCTCCTAACTGTCCCTTCGCATATTCTCCGAAGAGTATTTCCAAACTGTTGAATCAAAAGAACGTCTTAAGTCTGTGAGATGAATCCACACATCACAAAGCACTTTCACAGATAGCTTCGTTCTAGTGTTTATCTGGGGATATTTGGTTTTTCCTCATAGGCCTCAATGGGCTACAAACTGTCCTTTTGCTGATGTTCCAACAAGAATGTTTCTAACCTGCTAAATCATAGAAAGGTTTAATTCTGTAAGATGAATCCACACATCACAAGAAAGTTTCACAGACAGCTTGTTTCTAGTTTATATCTGGGGATATTCAGTTTTTCCCCATAGATCTCAAAGGGCTCCAAAATGTCCCTTCTCAGATTCTCCAGAAAGAGCCTTTCCAACTTGTTGAATGAAATGACATATTTAATTCTGTGTGATACATCTACACATCACAAAGCAGTTTCTCAGATAATCTCTTTCTACTTTTTCTCTGGGGATATTCTGTTTTTCCCCATAGGCCTCAATGAGATTCCAAGTGTACCTTTGAGATTCTAGTAAAATAGTGTCTCCAACCTGCTGATTCAAAAGAAAGTTTTAACTCTGTGAGATGAATCCAGACATCACAAACCAATTTCACAGATAGCTTCCTTCTAGTTTTCTCTGGGGGTATTCTATTTTTCCTCTAAGCCTCAGTGGGCTCCCTCATGTTCCTTTGCATGTTTTACAAAAAGAGTCTTTCCAACCTGCTGAGTTAAAAATAATATTTAACTTTGCAAGATGAATCCACACATTACCAAGCAATTTCACAGATAGCTTCTTTCTAATTTTTATCTGAGGATATTTGATCTATCCTTGCAGTCAACTATGAGTTCCCAACTGTACCTTTTCAGATTCTCCAAAAAGAGTGTTTCCAACCTGCTAAATCAAAAGAAAGGTTTAACTCTGTAAGATGAATCCACACATCACAAAGAAGATTCACAGATGTCTTCTTTCTAGTTTTATCTGGGGATATTCTGTTTTTCAACATAGGCCTCAATGGGCTACTACAACCTCCTGAACAGAAGAAAATTTTAAGTCTGTGAAAAGAATCCACACATCATAAAGCAGTTTCACAGAGACCTTCTTTCTTGTTTTTATCTGAGGATATTCATTTTTTCGATATAGGCCCTATGAGTTCCCATATGTCACTTTGTAGATTCTAGAAGAAGCATGTTTCAAACCTGCAGAATAAAAAGACACATTTAATACCGTGAGGTTAATCCACACATCACAAAGCAGTTTAACAGATGGCTTCTTTTCAGTTTTTTTCTGGGGATATTGATTTTCCCCATAGTCCTCAAAGTCCTCCCATATGTCCCTTTGTAGATTCTCCACAAAGAGTGTTTCCAACATGCTGAATCAAAAGCAAGGTTTAGCTCTGTGAGACGAATCCACACATCACAAACAAGTTTTGCAGATGGCTTCTTTCTAGTTTTCATCTGGAGATATTCAGTTTTTCCAAGTAGGCCTCAGTGGGCTTCCAAATGTCCACTCACAGATTCTCCAAAAAAGAGTATTTCCAAACTGCTGAATCAAAAGAATGGTTTAACTCTGTGAGATGAATCCACACATCATAAATCAGCTTCACAGATAGATTCTTTCTAGTTTTTATCTGGGGATAATTGTTTTTTTTTTCCATAGGTTACAATGGGTTCAAAAATATCCCTTCGTATATTCTCCAAAAAGGGTTTCCAACCTGCTAAGTCAAAAGAATGGTTTAACTCTCTGAGATGAATCCACACATCACAAAGTAGTTTCACAGATAGCTTCTTTCAAGTTTTTATCTGAGAAAATTCAGTTTTTTTTCCATTAGGCTTCATTAGACTCAAAAATATCATTTCACAGATTCTATGAATAAAGTGTTTCCAACCTGCTGAATCAATAGAAAGTTTTAATTCTGTGAGCTGAATCCGCACATCACAAAGCAGTTTTAAAGGTGGTTTCTTTCCAGTTTTTATCTGAAAATATTCGGCTTCTCCTTATAGGCCTCAATGGGCTCCCAAATGTTCCTTCACAAATATTACCAAAAGAATGTTTCCAATCTGTTGAATCAAAAGAAAGGTTTAACTCTGAGAGATAAATTCACAGATCACCAAGCAGTTACACAGATAGCTTCTTTGTAGTTTTTTTTCTGGGCATATTCGTTTTCCTTCCATAGGCTAAAATGGGCTCCCAAATATCCCTTCATATATTCTCAAAAAAGTGTCTCCAACCTGCTGAATCAAAGGAAAGGTTTAACTCTGTGAGATGAATCCACATATCACAAAACATTTTCAGTATTTCCCCATAGGCCTCAATGGATTTTCAAATGTCCCTTTGCAGATTCTCCAAATAGATGTGTTTCTAACCTCCTGAGTCAAAAGAAAGGGTAAATTCTGTGAGATGAATCCACATATCTCTAAGCAGTTTCACAAATAGCTTCTTCCTAGTTTTTATCTGGGGATATTCCGTTTTGCCCCATAGACCTAAAAGGGCTCTTAAATGTCCCATCACAGATTTTCCACAAAGACTGTTTCCAACCTGCAGTATCAAAAGAAATGTTTAACTCTGCGAGATGAATCCACACATCACAAAGCAGTTTCACCGATGGCATCTTTCTTGTTTGTACCTGGTGATATTGGGTTTTTCACATAAGCCTAAATAAACTCCCAAATATCTATTCTCAGATTCTTCAAAAAAATATGTTTCCAACCTGTTGAATCAAAGGGAAATTTTAACTTGGTGAGATGAATCCACACATCACAAAAGAGTTCCACAGATTGTTTCTTTCTACTTTTTATCTGGGGATACTCAGTTTTTCCCATGGGCCTAAATGAACTCCCAAATGTCCCTTCACAGTTTCTCCTAAAACAGTGTTTCCAACCTGCTGAATCAAAAGAAAGTTTTAATTCTGAGAGATGAGTCCACACCTCATAAAGCACTTTCACGGATAGCTATGGTGATCTGGGAATATTCAGCTTTTCACTGTAGGTTATATTGGCTCCTAAATGTCCCTTAACAGATTCTCCAAAAAGAATGTTTCTAACCTTCTGAATCAATAAAAGCTTTAACTCTGTGAGATGAATGTACACATTATAAAGTAGTTTCACAGTTAGCCTCTTTCTAGTTTTTTTATGAGGATATTTGGTTTTTCCCCATAGGCTACAAGGTGTTCCAAAATGTCTATTTGCAGATTCTCCAAAAAGAGTTTTCAACCTGCTGAATCAAAAGAAATGTTTATCTCAAAGAGATCAACCCAAACTTCACAAAGCAGTTTCACAAATAGTTCTTTCTAGTTTTTATCTGTGGATATTCCATTTTTCCCCATAGGCCTCAATGGGATCCAAAATTTTCCTTCACACATTTTGCAAAGACAATGTTCCCAACCAACTGAGTCTAAAGGAAGATTTAATTCTCTGACATGAATCCAAACATCACATATTGTATTTTTCCACATAGGCAACAAAGGGGTCCAAAATGTCCATTCACAGATTCTCCAAAAACAGTGTTTTCAACTTCCTGAATCAAAAAAAAGTCTTAACTCTCTGAGATGAATCCACACATCAAAAAGCAGTTTCACAGATAGCTTCTTTCTAGTTTTTCTCTGGGAGTATTCAGTTTTGTCCCATAGACCTAATTGGGCTCCCAAATATTTCTTTGCATGTTCTCCAAAAAGACGTGTTTCAAACCTGCTGAATGAAAAGAAGGGATTAACACTGTAAGATGCATCCACACATCACAAAGAAATTTCACAGATAATTTCTTTCTAGTTTTTATCTGGGTATACTTTGTTTTGTCCCATAGACCTCAATGGGTTGCCAATTGTCCATTCACAAATTTTCCAAAAAGTGTTTCCAACCTGCTGAACCAAAAGAAAGGCTTAACTCTGTGAAATGAATCCACACGTCGCATCAGTTTCACACATAGCTTCTTTCAATTTTCTACCTTAGGATATTCTATTTTTCCACATAGGCCTCAATGGGCTCCCAAATATTTTTTCACAGATTCTCTAAAAGGAGTGTTTTCAACTAGCTGAGTCAAAAGTAACGTTTAACTCTGTGAGATGAATGCATGCAACACAAAACAGTTTCACAGATAGTTTCTTTGTAGATTTTATCTGGGGATATTCGGGTTTTTTTCCATAGGCCAAAATGGGCTCCCAAATGTCCCTTCGTAGATACTCCAAAAAGTGTTTCCAACCTGCTGATTCAAAAGCATGGTTTAGCTATCTGAGCTAAATCCACACATCACAAAATAGTTTCACAGCTAGCTTCTTTGGAGTGTTTATCAGGATATATTCGTTTTTTTTGCCCTAGGCCTCAATGGGCTGCAAAATATTCCTTTGCAGATTTTCTGAAGAGTGTTTACATCCTGCTGAATCAAAAGAAAGTTTTAACTCTATGAGATGTATCCACAAATCACTGAAAAGCAGTTTCACAGATAGCTTCTTTCTAATTTTTACCTGGGGATTTTTTTTCCCATAGTCCTCCATGAGCTCCTAAATATCCCTTCACAGATTCTCCAAAAAGAATATTTCCAACTGCTGAGTCACAAGACTGTTTTAACTCTGTGATAAGAGTCCACACATCACAAAGCTGTTTCAGAGGTAGCTTCTTTCTAGTTTTTAGCTGGGGATATTCAATTTTTTCCCATAGGCCTCAATGGGCTCCCAAATGTCCCTTCTCAGATCCTCCAAAAAGAAATGTTTCCATCCTGTTGAATCAAAAGAAAATTTTAAATCTGAAAGATGTTTCCACAAATCGCAAAGCAGTTTCAGATAGATTCTTTCTAGTTTTTATCTGTGGATATTCGGCTGTTCCCCATAGCCCTCAATGGGCTCCAAAGTTTCCTATTGCAGATTCTCCAAAAAGAGTGCTTCCAATTTGCTGAATCAAAAGAATGTTTTAACTCTGTGAGATGAATCCACACACCATATCAGTTTCTCACGTAGCTTCTTTGAGTTTCTATCTTGGGATATTAGATTTTTCCCTGTAAGCCTCAATGGGCTCCCAAATATTCCATCACAGATTCACTAAAAAGAGTGTCTTTAACCTGCTGAATCAAAGGAATTGGTTTATCTCTGTAAGATGAATCCACACATCACAAAATATTTTCACAGATATCTTCTTTCTATTTTTTTTATCTGGAGATATTCTGTTTTTCCCCATAGGCCTCAATGGGCTTTTAAATGTCCCTTCACAGATTCGCCAAAATGTGTGTTTCCAACCAGGTGAATCATAAGAAAGTTTTAACTCTATGATGTGAATCCACACATCACATCACATAAGTTTCACACATAGGTTCTTTCTAATTTCCATCTGGTAATATTCATTGTTCCCCATAGCCCTCAATGGGCTTTCAAATGACCCTTCGCACATACTTCAAAAAGAGTGTTTCCAACCTGCTGAACCAAAAGAAATTTTTGAATCTGTGAGATGAATCCACACTTCACAAAGAAGTTTCACAGATAGCTTCTTTCTAGTATTTATCTGGGGATTTTCACTTTTTCCCCAAAGGCCTCAATGGGCTTTCAAGTGTCCCTTTACAGATTCTCCAAATAGATGTGTTTCCAACCTCCTGAGTCAAAAGAAAGGGTTAAATCTGTGAGATGAATTGACACATCACAAAGTAGTTTCACAGATAGCTTCTTTCTAGTTTTTATCTGGGGATATTTCGCTTTTCCCCATAGGCCTCAATGGGCTCTTAAAAGTCCATTCACAGATTCTCCAAAATGATGTGCTTCCAACGTGCTGAATCAAAAGAAATGTTGTATTCTGTATGATGAATTCACACATCACAAAGAGCTTTCATAGATAGCTTCTTTAAATTTTTATCTTAGGATTCTCAGTTTTTCACCATTTGCCTCAATGGGCTCCAAAATGTCCTTTGTAGATTCTCCAAAAATAGTGTTTCTTACCTGCTGAATAAAAAGAAAGTTTTAACTCTGGGAGTTGAATGTACACATCACAAGGCAGTTTTACAGATAGCTTCCTTCTATTTTTTGTCTGCGGATATTTGGTTTCTACCCAGAGGCCCAAATGGGTTCCCAAATGTCCTGTCACAGATTTTCCAAAATGGATATGGAAATTTAATTTCCTACCTATGAAATTAAAAAAATGTTTCAACAATGTGAGATGAATTTACACCTCAGAGAGCACTTTCACAGATAGCTTCATTCCAGTTTTTATCTGGATAATCGGTTTTTTCCCATAGGCCTCAATGGGCTCTTACATGTCTCTTCACAGAATATCCAAAAACAGTGTTTCCAACCTGATGTATTAAAAGGCAGTTTTACTTGTATGAGAGAAATCCACACATCACAAATCGTTTCACAGATAGCTTCTTTCTAGTTTTTATCTGCGGATTTTTTTCCCCATTGGCCTAAATTGGCTCCCAAATGTCCCTTTGCAGATTCTTCAGAAAAAGCATTTCCAATGTGGTGAATCAAAAAAAATGTTTAGCTCTGTGAGATGAATCCACACATCACAAAGAAGTTTCACAGATAACTTCTTTTTAGTTTTTATCTGGGAATATTCAGTTTTTCCCCATAGGCATCAATGGGCTTTCAAAGGTCCGTTTGCAAATTCTCCAAAAATATGTTTCCAAACTGCTGAATCAAAAGAAAAGTTAAACTCTGTGAGATGAATCCACACATCTCAAAGCAGTTTCACAGATAGCTACTTTCTAGGTTATCTCTGGGGTCACTTGGTTTTTCTGCAGAGTCCTCAATGGGCTCCCATATGTCCCTTCGCAGTTTCTCCAAAAAGAATGTTTCAAATCTCCTGAATCAAAACAAAGGTTTAACTGTGTAAGAGGAATGCACACATCACAAAGCAATTTCACGAATGACTTCTTTCTGGTTTTTATCTGGGGATATTCAGTTTTTCTCCAGAGGCTTCACAAATGTCCCTTCATAGTTCTACAAAAAGAGGGTTTTCAGCCTGCTGAATCAAAAGAAAAGTTTGACTCTTTGAGATGAATCCACATATCACATCAATTTCAAAGATAGCTTCTTTTTATTTTCTATCTGGGAATATTTGGTTATCATCCATAGTCTTTAATAGGCTCCCAAATGTTCCTTCACAGATTCTCCAAAAAGATTGTTTTCAACCAGCTGAGTAAAAAAATATTAACTCTGTGAGATGAATATACACATCACAAAGCAATATTACATATATGTCTTTCTAGTTTTTATCTGGGGTTATCCAATTTTTACGCATATACTTCAGTCAGCTACAAAATGTCCATTCACATAATCTCCAAAAACAGTGTTTCCAACTGCTGAATCAAAAGAAAGGTTGAATTCTGTGAGATAAATTCACACATCACAAAGTTGTTTCACACATAGCTTCTTTCTAGCTTTTATCTGTGGATATTTGGTTTTTCCCCACAGGACTCCATGGGCTCCAAAATGTACCTTCACAGATTCTCCAAAAAAGTGTTTCCAAAATGCTAAATCAAAAGAAAGTTTTATTTCTGTGAGATGAACATACACATCACAAAGCAGTTTCACAGATTGCTTATTTCTACTTTTCATCTCGAGAAATTTTCTCTTTCACCATACGTCTCAATGGGTTCCCAAATGTCTCTTCACAGATTCTCCAAAAGGAGTGTTTCCAACGTGCTGAATCAAAGAAAAAGAGTAACTCTTTGAAATGAGTCAATACAAGGAAAGTTCATATATATCTTCTTTCTAGCTTTTTTTCTGGGGATATACAGTTTTTTCTTAAACACATAAATGGACTCTCAAATGTGCGTTTAAATATTCTCCAAAAAGAGGGTTTCCAACCTGCTGAAACAAAAAAAGAGTTTTATCTCTGTGAGATGAATCTGCACATTACAAAGCAGTTTCAGAGAGAGCTTCTTACTATTTTTTTCTGAGGATATTCAGTTTTACCCCAAAGGACTCAATGGGCTCCAAAATGTCCCTTCACTGATTCTCCAAAAAGAATGTTTCCAAAGTACTGAATAAAAACAAAGGTTTAACTGTTTGAGATGAATCCCCACTTCACAAAATAGTTACACACATAGCTTCTTACTAGTTTTTATCTGGGGATTGTTGGTTTTTCCATTTAGGCCACCAAGGGCTCCCAAATGTCTCTCCGTAGAATCTGTAAAAACAATGTTTCCCAACTACTGAATCAATAGAAAGGTCTATCTCTGTGGGATGAATCCGCACATCACAAGGAAGTTTCACAGATAGCTTATATCTAGTTTTTATCTGGGTATACTCCTTTTCTCCCTTTAGGTTTCAACGGGATCCCAAATATCTCTTCACAGATTCTCCAAAAAGAGTGTTTCCAACCTGCTAAATCAAAAGAAAGTTTTAACTCTATGAGATGAATCCACAAATCACTATGCAGTTTCATGGATAGCTACTTTCTAGTGTTGATCTGGGGATATTCAGCTTTTCTCCATAGGCCTCAATGGGCTCCAAAATGTCCCTTAGCAGATTCTCCAAGAGTGTTTCCAAGCTACTAAATTTAAAAAAAGCTTTAATTCTTTGAGATGAACCCACACATCATGAAGGACTTTCACAGATAGCTTCTTTCTAGTTTTTATCTAGGGATATTTGATATTTCCCTATAGGGTTCGATGGGCTTCCAAATGTCACTTAGCAGATTCTCTGAAAGGTGTGTTTCCACCCTGTTGAATCAAAGGAAGTTATAACTCTGTGAGAATAATCCACACATCACAAAGCAGTTTCACAGATAGCTTTTTTTCTAGTTTTTATTTAAGTATGTTAGGCTTTTAACCTAGGCGTCAGTGGGCTCCTAAATGTCCCATCAGAGATTCTCAAAAAAAAAGTGTTCCAAATTGCTGAAGCAAAAGAATGCTTTAACACTATGAGATGAATGCACACATCACAAAGAAGTTTCAAGATCGCTTCTTTCTAATTTTTATCTGGGTATATTTTGTTTTTCCCTATAATCCACAATGGGCTCCCAAATATCACTTCACAGGTTCAACAAAAAGAGTGTTTCCAACCTGATGAATGAAAAGAAAGTATTAGCTCTGTGAGATAAATCCACACATAACAAAGCACTTTAACAGATAGATTCTTTCTAGTTTTTATCTGGGGATATTCAGCTTTTTCCTGTAGGCCTCAATGCTCCCAAATGTCCCCCCACAGATTCTGCAGAAAGAGTGATTCCAACCTGCTGAATCAAAACAAAGGTTTAACTCTCTGAGAGGAATCCACACATCATGAGGCAGTTTCACAGATAGCTTCTTTCTACTTTCTATCTTGGGATATAGTGTTTTTACCTATAAACCTCAACGTGCTCCCAAATGTCCCTTCACAGATTATCCAAATAGAGTGTTTCCTACATGCCAAATCAAAAGAAAGGTGTAACTCTGTGTGATGAATACACACATCACAAATCAGTTTTCAGAGATAGCTTCTTTCTAGTTTTTATTTGGGGATATTCCACTTTTCCTCATAGGCCTTGATGTACTCCAAATGTTTATTCACAGATTCTCCAGAAAGACTGTTTCCAACCTGCTGAATAAAAAAAAGGCTTAACACTGTTAGATAAATGCACACGTCACAAAGCAGTTTTACTTATGGCTTTTTTATAGTTTTTATCTGGGGATATTTTGTTTTTCCCTATAGGACTCAGTGGGCTCTTAAATACCCTTTCTTATATTCTCCAAAAAGAGGGTTTACCACGTGCTGAAACAAAACAATGGTTTAACTCTCTTAAATGAATCCACACATCACAGATGTTTCACAAATAACTCCTTTCTAGTTTCACAGATAGTTTCACAGATAGCTTCTTTCTAGTTTTTTCCCTCAGGATATTCAGTTTTTCCCCATAGGCCTCAATGGGCTCAAAAATGTCCCCTCACAGATTCTCCAAAACAGTGTTTCCAACCTCCTGAATCAAAAGAAAGGTTTAATTCTGTAAGATGCATCCACACATCACAAAGCTGTTTCACAGATAGCTTCTTCCTATGTTTTATCTGGCAATATTTGGTTTTTCCCAGTAGGCATCACTGGGTTTCCAAATGTTCCTACACAGATTCTCTAAAAAGGTACTTTCCAACATGCTGAATCAAAAGAAAGTTTTAACTCTGTGAGATGAATCCACACATCGTAAATCAGTTTATCAGATAACTTCTTTCTAGTTTTTATCTGGGGATATTCAGTTTTACCCTCTAGGCCTCAAATGCCTTCAAAATATTATTTTCCATATTCTAAAAAAAGTTTTTCCAACCTGCTCAACCTAAAGAATGTTTGAACTATGTGAGATAAATCCACAAATCACCAAGCAGTTTGATGGATACCTACTTTCTAGTTTTTATCTTGGGATATTCCTTTTTTCCCCATAGGCTTCCATTGGCTCCAAAATGTCTCTATGCAGATTCCCTAAAAATAGTGTTTACAAAATGCTGAATCAAAAGAAAGGTTTAACTCTGTGAGATAAGTTCACAAGTGACAACGCACTTTCACAGATAACTTTATTCCGGTTTTTATCTGGGATACTAAGTTTTTCCCCAAAGGTTTCAATGGGTTCTCCAATGTCCCTTCTCAGATTCTTTAAAAATATTGTTTTCAAACTGCTGAATCAAAACGAAGTTTTAACTCTGTGAGATGAATCCACGCATAACAAAGCAGTTTCACAGATTGCTTATTTCTAGTTTTTATCTGGGAATATTCTGTTTTTCTTCATAGGCCTCAATAAGCTCCCACAAGTCCCTTCACAGATTCTAGAAAAAGAGTGTTTCCAACCAGCTGGATCAATAGAAAGGTTTAACTCTGTGAGATGAATCTAGAAATCAAAAAGCAGTTTCATAGATAGCTTATTTCTAGTTTTTATCTCGGGATATTCAGTTTTTCCCTCATAGGACTCAAAGGGCTCTCAAATATTTCTTTGACTATTCTCCAAAAAGAGCACTCCCAACATGCTGAATCAAAAGAAAAGTTAAACTCTGTGAAATGAATCACCTTCACAAAGCAGTTTCATAGATACTTTCTTCCAAGTTTTTATCTGCAAATATTTGACTTTTCCCCATAGTCATCAATGGACTCCCAAATGTCCCTTTGCAGATTCTCCAAAAAAAGTGTTTTGAACCTGGTGAATCAAAAGAAAAATTTACCTCTGTGAGATGAATTCACATATCACAAAGCCCACTGAAGCCTATTTGGTAAAACCAATATGTGCAGGTAAAACCCAGAAAGAAGCTAAGTGAAACTGCTTTGTGATTTGTAAATTCATCTAACAAGTTTAAACCTTTCTTTTGATTCAGCAGGTTGGAAACATTCTTTTTGTAGAATCAGCGAAGGGACATTTTGTAGTGGATGAGGACTATGGAACAAAACCAAATATTCCCAGAGAAAACCTAGAAAGTAGATATCTGTGAAACTGCTTTGTGATGTTTGGATTCATCTCAAAGAGTTAAAACGTTTTATTGTACAGCACTTTGGAAACACTCTTTTTGAAGAATCTGCAAAGGGATATTCGAGAGCCCATTGAGGCCCATGAGGAAAAACCTAACATCCTCAGATAAAACCTATATAGAAGCAATCTGTGAAACTTCTTTGTGATGTGCAGATTTATCTTACAGTGTTAAATGTTTGTATTGATTCCAAAGGTTGGAAAAACTCTTTTTGGAGAATCTGCAAAGAGACATTTTGGAACCTATTGATGCATAGGGGGAAAATTGAATATCCCAAGATAAAAACTAGAAAGTAGCTACCTGTGAAACTGCTTTGTGATGTGTAAATTCAATCACAGAATTAAAATTTTCTTTCAATTCAGCAGGTTCAAAACACTCTTTTTCTAGAACCTGTGAAGGGACATTTGGGAGCCCATTGAGGCCTATGGAGAAAAATTGAATATCCCCAAGTAAAAACTAGAAAGATGCGTTTTGTGAAACCGCTTTGTATGTGTGGATTTATCTCACAGAGTTAAAGCTTCTTTTAATTAGCAGGGTGGAAACACTCTTTCTAGACAATCAGCAAAAGGACGTTTTGTAGACAATTGAGCCCTAAGGGGAAAAACCTAGAAAGATGCTATTGGTGAAAATGTTTTTTGATGTGTGGATTCATCTCAAAGTGTTAAACCTTTGTTTTGATGCAGCAGATTGAAAACACTGTTTTTGTAGAATCTGTGAAGGGACATTTGAGATCCCATTTGGGCCACTGGGAAAAAACAAATATCCCCAGGTAAATACTAGAAAAAAGCTACCTGTGAAACTGCTTTATGATAGCTGGATTCATCTTACAGAGTTAATCATTTTAATTAATTCAGCAGGTTGGAAAAACTCTTTTTGGAGAATCTATGAAGTGACGTCTTGGAGCCCATTGAGGCCTAGGAAGAAAATTGAATATCCCTAGATAAAAACTAGAAAGAAGGTATCTGTGAAACTGTTTTGCAATGTGAGGATTCATCTCACAGAGTTAAACTTTTATTTTTGATTCAGCAGGTTCAAATCACTCTCTTTGTATAATCTGTGAAGGGATAATTGGAAGTCCATTGAAACCTATAAGGAAAAATTGAATATCCCCAGATGAAAACTGAAATAAGTTTGTGAAACTGGTTTGTGATGTGTGGATTCATCTCACAGATTTACACCTTTCTTTTGATCCAGCAGGTTGGAAACACTTTTTTTGTAGGATCTGTGAATGTACATTTTGGAGCCCATTGATGCCTAGCAGAAAAACTGAATATCCCCAGATAAAAAGTAGAATGAAGTTATCTGTTAAACTGCTTTGTTACACGTGGATGCATCTCACAAATTTCAACATTTCTTTTGATTCTGCAGGTTGGAAATACTCTTTTTTCTAGAACCTCTGAAAAGACATTTGGGAGCCCATTGAGGTCTGTGAGGATAAAGTGAATATCCCCATATAAAAGGTGAAAGAAGCTGTCTGTAAAACTGCTTTGTGATATTTGGATTGAACTCACAGAGTTAAAACTTTCTTTTCATACAGAAAGTTGGAAACACTCCTTTTGTGGGAACTGCAAAAAGATATTTGGGAGCCCATTAAGGCCTATAAGTAAAAACAGGTAATCATCAGACAAGCACTATAAAGAAGATAACTCTGAAACTGCTTTATGTTGCTTGGACTCATCACACAGAGTTAAAACTTTCTTTTGATCCAGCAGGTAGGAAACACTCTTGTAGAATCACTGAAAGGACAGTTTGGAAGCCATTGAAACCTAACAACAACAACAACAAAACCAATATCCCCAGAACAAAACTAGAAAGATGCTATCTGTGAAACTGCTTTGTCATGTGTGGATTCATGCCATGGAGTTAAACCTTTCGTTTGACTCACCAGGTTGGAAACACTCTCTGTAGAGAATCTGCAAAGGGACACTGGGGAGCTCATTGAGGCCAGTGGAAAAAAACAGAATATCCCCAGATAAAAAAATAGAAAGAAGCTATTGGAAAAACTGCTTTTTGAGGTGGGGATTCATTTCACAGAGGTAAATCTTTCATTTGACTCAACAGGTTGGAAACACTCTTTTTAGAGAATCTGCAAAGGGACATTCGGGAGCTCATTGAGGCCAGTAGCAAAAAACACAATATCCTCAGATCAAAACTAGAAAGAAGCTATCTGTAAAATTACTCCGTGAGATGTGGATTCATCTCACTGAGACAAACCTTTCTTTTGATGCAGGAAGTTGAAAACACTCTTTTTGCAGAATCTGTGAAGGGACATTTGGGAGCCCATTGATGTATACAGGGAAAAATGAATTATCCGCAGATAAAAACAAGAAAGAATCTCTGTGTGAAACATCTTTGTGATTTGTGGAGTCATCACACAGAGATAAACCTTTCTTTTGCTACTACAGTTTGGAAACACTTTCTGGAGAACCTGCGAAAGGACATTTGGGAGCCCACAGGGGCCTATGGGGATAAATCAAATATCTCTAGAGAAAAACTAGAAAGAAGCTATATGTGAAACTGCACTCTAATGTGTGGATTCATCTCACACAGTTAAACCATTCTTTTGATTGAGCAGGTTTGAAACCCTCTTTTTGAAGAATCTGCAAATGGACATTTGAGAGCCTCTTGAGGCCAATGGAAATAAACTGGATATCCCCAGATAAAAACTAGAAAGGAGCTGTCTGTCCGTGGAAATTCTTTGTGATGTGTGGATTCATCTCACAGACTTAAATCTTTCTTTTGATTCACCAGGTTTAAAAGACTCTTTTTCAAGTGTCTGTGAAGGGGCATTTCTGAGCCTGTTGAGTCCTATGGGGCAAAACTGAATATATTCAGTTAAAAATTAGAAAGAAGCTATCTGTGAAACTGGTTTTTGATGTGTGGATTCATCTCACAGATTTAAACCTTTCTTTTGATTCAACAGTTTGGAGACACTGTTTTTACAGAATCTACAAAAAGACATTTTGGAGCCCCTTTAGGCCTATGGGCCAAAACCGAATATCCCCAGAAAAAAACTAGCAGGAAACTATCTGTGAAACTTCTTCGTGATGTGTGGATTCATCTCACAGAGATAACACTTTTTTTTGAATTGGCAGGTTGGAAACAATTTTTTCTGGAGCAGCTGCAAAGGGATATTTGGGAGCCCATTGAGACCTGTGGGGCAAATGGAATATCCCCAGATGAAAATGAGAAAGAAGCTATTTGTGATACTGCTTTGTGATTTGTGGATTCGTCTCACAGACTTAAAGCTTTCTTTTGATTCTTCAGGTTGGAAACACTCTTTTGAGAGAATCTGTGAAGGGACATTTGGAAGCCCATTGAGGCCTTTCTGGCAAACCAAATATTTCCAGAGGAAAACTAGATAGAAGTTATCTGTGAACTTGCTTTATAATGTGTAGATTCATCTCACAGAGTTAAATCTTTCTTCTGATTCAGCAAGTTGGAAACAGTCTTTTTTGAGAGTCTGCTAAGGGATAAATATCCCAAATGGGAGCCCACAGAGGCCTATGGGGTAAAAACGATTATTGTCTTATAAAAAGTACAAAGAAGATATCTTGAAACTGCTTGTGATGTGTGGGTCATCTCACAGAGGTAAAGCTTATTTTGATTCAACAGGTTGGAAACACTCTTTTTGGAGAATCTGCGATGAAACATTTGGGAGCCCATTAAGTCCTAAGTGTAAAAGGCAAATATCGCTATATAGAAACTAGAAAGAACGTATCTGTGAAACTGCTCTGTGATGTGTGGATTAATCTCACAGAGTTAAAACTTTCTTTTGATTCAGCAGTTTGGAAACACTCTATTTGGAGACTCTACGAAGGAACATTTTAGAGCCCAGTGAGGACTGTGGGGAAGAAGTGAATATCACCAGATAAAAAAGTAGAATGAAGCTATCTGTGAAACTGTTCTGTGATGTGTGGATTCATCTCACAGAGTTAAATCTTTCTTTGATTCAGCAGGTTGGAAACACCTTTTTTGGAGCATCTGCAAAGGGATCTTTGTGATCCCATTAAGTCCTATGGGGAAAAAATGAACATCCCCATATAAAACCTAGAAAGAAGCTATGTGTGAAACTGCTTTGTGATGTGTGGATTCATCTGCAAGAATTAAACATTTCCATTGATCCAGCAGATTGGAAACACTCTTTTTGGAAAATCTGTGAAGGGACATTCTGGAGCTTATTCAGGCCTAAGGGAAAAACTATTCCTAGATAAAAACTACAAATAAGTTATCAGTGAAACTGCTAATTGATGTGTGGATTCATCTCACGGATTTTTACCTTTTCTTTGATTCAAAAGGTTGAAAGCACTCTTTTTGGAGAATTTGCAAAGAGATATTTGGGAGCCCATTGAAGCCTAGGGGAAAAACAGTATATCACCAGATAAATGTTTGTGTGAAACAGATTTGTGATATGTCAATTCATCTCACAGAGTTTAATTTTTCTTTTCATTAAGCAGGTTGGAAACACTCGCTCTGACATTTGAGAGACCATTGAAACTTATGGGGAAAAATTGAATATCCCTGGATAGAAACTAGAAAGAGGCTTTCTGTAAAACTGCTCTGTGATGTGTGGAATCATCTCATATAATAAAAACTTTATTTTGTTTCAGCAGGTTGGAAACGCTTTTTTTAGATAATTTGCAAAGGGACATTTTTGAGCCCTTTGATGCCTATGGGGAAAAACGTAATATCCCAAGATAAAAACTAGAAAGAAACTATCTTTGAAACTCCTTTGTGATGTGTGGATTCATCTCACAGAGTTAAACATTTATTTTGTTACAGCAGTTTTAAAAATACTCTTTTTGGAGAATCTGTGAAGGAATATTTAGGAGCCACTTGAGGCCAATGGAAATAATCCGAATGTCCCCAGATAAAAACTAGAAAGAAGCTATCTGTGAAATTGCTTTGTGATGTGTGGATCCATCTCACAGACTTAAAGCTTTCATTTGATTCAGCAGTTTGGAAACCATCTATTTTGAAAATCTACGAATGCACATTTGGAGCACACTGAAGCCTATGGGCAAAACCGAGTATTCCCTGATAAAAAGTACAAAGAAGGTCTCTTAAAACCACTTGTGATGTGTGGGTCATCTCACAGAGTTAAACCTTATTTTGATTCAACAGGTTTGAAAGACTTTTTAGAGAATCTGCAATGAAACATTTTGGAGCCCATTAAGGCCAATGTGGAAGAGCTGAATATCCCCAGATAGAGCAGATAGAAACTAGAAAGAAGCTATCTGTGAAATGCCTTTTGATTTGTGGATTAATCTCACAGAGTTAAAACCTTCTTTTGATTCGCAGTTTGGAAACACTCTATTTGGAGTATCAGCAAAGGGACATTTTGGAGCCCACTGGGGCCTGTGGGGAAAAAGTGAATATCCCCAGATAAAAACGAGAAAGAAGCTATCTGTGAAACTGCCTTTTGATGTGTGGATTTATCTCACAGAGTTAAACCTTTCTTTTTATTCAGCAGATAGAAATCACTCTATTTGGAGAACCTGTGAAGGGACATTTGGGAGTCTATTGAGGCCTATGGGGGAAAAGCAAATATCCCCAGATAAAAACAGGAAAGACGCTATCTGTGAAATGGATTTGTGACATGTGGATTCATCTCACAGAGTTAAACCATTCTTTTGATTTAGCAGGTTCGAAACACTCTTTTTGGAGCATCTGCAAAGGGACATTTGAAAGCTCTTTGAGTCCTGTAAGGCAAAACAGAAATTCCCCATATAAAAACTAGAAAGAAGCTATCTGTGAAACTGCTTTGTGATGTCTGAATTTATATCACAGAATTAAACCTTTCTTTTGATTCAGAAGGGTGAAAACACTCTTTTTGGAGAATTTTCAAAGGGACATTTGGGAACCCATTTTGGCCTATGGAGGAAAAAAAATATCCCCAGATAAATATAGAAAGAAGCTGTGTGTGAAAAAGCTTTGTGATGTGTGGATTCATCACACACAGTTAAACTTTCGTTTTGATACACCAGGTTGGAAACACTCTTTCTGGAGAATCTGTGAAAGGACATTTGGGAGCCCACAGGGTCCTATGGGGATAAATTGAATATCTCTAGAGAAAAACTAGAAAGAAGCTATCTGTGAAACTGCTTTGTAATGTGTGGATTCATCTCACACAGTTAAACCATTCTTTTGATTGAGCAGATTTGAAACACTTTTTGAAGAATCTGTGAAGAGACATTTGGAAGCCTCTTGAGGCCAATAGAAATAAACAGAATATCCCCAGATAAAAACTAGAAAGAAGCTATCTATGAAAATGTTTTGTGATGTGTGGATTCATCTCACAGAATTAAATCTTTCTTTTGATTCACCAGGTTGCAAACACTCTTTTAGGAGAATCTGAGAAGGCATAGTTGGGAGCTCATTGAGGTCTAGAGAGAAAGATCGAATATAGCCAGATGAATACTAGAAAGAAGCTATCTATAAACTTGTTTTGTGATGTGTGGATTCATTGCACAAGATTAAACCTTTCTTTTATTTCAGCCAGTTGGAAACACTCATTTTGGAGAATCTGTGAAGGGACTTATGGTAACCTATTGAGGACTGTTGGGAAAAACAGAATATCTCCATTAAAAATTTTAAAAGAAGCTTTCTTTGAAACTGCTTTTTGATATGTGGATTTATTTCACAGAGTAAAATCTTTCTTATGATTCAACAGGGTGGAAACACTCTTTTTATATTATCTGTGAAGAGATATTTGGGGGCCCACTGAGGCTTATGGGGAAAAACCCAGTATTGCCAGAAGAAAACTAGAAAGAAGCTTTCTGTGAACCTGCTTTGTGATGTGCAGTTTCATCTCACACAGTTAAACTTTTCATTTGAATCAGCAGGTTGGAAACACTCTTTTTTGGAACAGATGTGAAGGGATATTTGTGAGCCTATTGAGGTCTATGGGGCAAAAGGGAATATCCCAATATGAAATATGTAAATCACATATTCAGCTTTTCCTGGTAGGCCTCCAAGAGCATCTAAATGTCCCTTTGCAGATTCTCCAAAAAGAGAGTTTAAAACCTGCTGGATCAAAAGACAGGTTTAACTCTGTGAGATGAATCCATACAACAAAATGCAGTTTCAAAGATAGCTTCTTTCTAGTTTTTATCTGTGGATACTTGGGTTTTTCCCAAAGTTTTCAATGGGTTCTCAAATATTTCTTTGCAAATTCTCCCAAAAGAGTATTTCCAGTCTTCTGAATCAAAAGAAATGTTTAACTCTATGAGATGCACTCACAAATCAGAAAGCAGTTTCAGTCTTGAAAAAGTCTTTTAAACCTGGTGAATCAAAAGAAAGATTTAACTTTGTGGGCTGAATCCACACATCACAAAGTATTTTCACTGATAGCTTCTTTCTAGGTTTTATCTGGGAATATTCAGTTTTTACTTATAGGCATCAGTTGGCTCCCAAATATCTCTTTGCAGATTCTACAAATGATTGTTTCTAATCTGTTGAATGAACAGAGATATTTAATTATGTGAAATGAATCCATACATCACAAAGAAGTATCACAGATAGCTTCTTTCTAGTTTTTCTCTGGGGATATCCAGTTTTTCCCCATAGTCCTCAATGGGCTCACAAATGTCCCTTGTCAGATTCTCAAAAAGAGTGTTTTCAACCTGCTGGATCAAAAGAAAGGTTTAACTATTTGAGATGAATTCACACATCACAAAACAATTTCACAGATATCTTCTCTCTAGTTTGTATCTGGGGATATTCAGTTTTCACTTATAGGACTCAATGGGCTTCCAAATGTCCCTTTGCAGATACTCCAACAAAAGCATTTCCAGCCTCCTGAATCAGAAGGGTGGTTTAACTGGATCAAAAGAAATCTTTAACTTTGTGAGACTAACCCGGACAATACAAAGCAGTTTCAAAGATAGCTTCTGTTTAGTTTTTCTTGTGGGTTATCAATTTTTATTTATAGGCCTTAATCGGCTCCAAAGTGTCAATCCACACATTCTACAAAAATATATTTCCAAACTAGTGTATCAAAAGAAAGGTTTATCTCTGTTAGATGAATCCATACATCACAAAGCAGTTTTACAGATACCTTCTTTCCAGTTTTTCTCTGGGGATATTCGATTTATCCCCATAGATCCCAAAGGGCTCCCAAAAGTCTCTTCATAGTTACTCCAAAAACACTATTTCTAACCTGCTTTATCAAAATAAATGTTTAACTCTGTGAGATGAATCCACACATCACAAAGCAGTTTGACAGATAGTTTCTTTCTAGTGTTTATCTTGGAATATTCAGTTTTACTCATAGTCCTCAATGGGCTTCCAAATGTCCCTTCACAGATACTTCAAATAGAGTGTTTCCACATTACTGAATCAAAAGAATAGCTTAACTGTGGGAGATGAAGCCACACATCACAAAGCAGTTGCACAGATATTTTTTCAATTTTTTCCCTAAAAAATATTCCTTTTTTTTTCCTTAGGCCTCATGGGCTTCCAAATGTCTTTTTGCATATTCTTTGAAAAGAGTATTTTCAACCTGCTGAATCAGAAGAAGGGTTTAAGTCTGTGAGATGAATTCACACATCCCAAAGCAGTTTCATAGATAACGTCTTTGCAGTTTTTATATGGGGATATTCAGTTTTTCCTCACAGGACTCAATGGGCTCCCAAATGTCCCTTTATGTATTTTTGAAAAAGAGTGTTTCCAACCTGCTGAATGAAAGGAAAGGTTTAACTTTGTGAGTTGAATTCACACATCACAAAGCAGTTTCACAGGTAAGATATCTTGTTTGTAGCTTTTATGTGTGGATAATTTGTTTTCCCCATAGCCTTCAATGGTTTCCCAAATGTCCCTTCACACATTCTCCAAAACAGTGTTTCCAACCTGCTGAATCAAAACAAAGTTTAACTTTGTGAGATGAATTGAACCATTACCAAGCAGTTTCACATTTAGGTTGTTTCTAGTTTTTATCTGGAAATATTCAGTTTATTCCCATAAGCATCTATGGAATCCCAAATGTTTCCTTGCATGTTCTACAAAAAGAGTGTTTCCAACTTGTGGAATAAAAATAAAGTTTTCCCTCTGTGAGAAGAATCTTCACATCACAAAGCAGTTTCACAGATAGTTTCTTTCTAGTTTTTATCTGCATATATTCTGTTTTTCTTCATAGGCCTAAATGGGCTCTAAAATGTCCCTTGGCGGATTCTTTAAATAGAGTGTTTCCAACCTGTTGGATCAAAAGGAATTTTTAACTCTGTGAGATGAATCCAGGCCACACAAAGTAGTTTCACAGAGAGCTTCTTTCCAGTTTCTACCTGGGGATATTCAGTTTTTTTCCCAAAGGCCCCAATGAGCACCAAAATGTCTTTTCTCCAATTCTACAGAAAGAGTGTTTCCAACCTGCTGGATCAAAAGAATGGTTTAAATCTCTGAGATGAGTCCACATGTCACAAAACTGTTTCACATATAGCGACTTTCTAGTTTTTATGTGGGGTATTTCGTTTTTCCCCATAGGTCTCAATGAACTCCCAAATGTCCCTTTGCAGATTGTCTAAAAAGAGTGTTCCACCTGCTGAATCAAAAGAAAGTTTTATCTCTGTAACAGGGATCCCCAGATCAAAAATCAGTTTCATGGATACCTTCATTCTAGCTTTTATCTCGAGAGATTAGATTTTTAATTATAGGCCTCAGTGGGCTCTGAAATTTCCATTCGCAGGTTCACCAAAAACATTGTTCCCAACCTGCTGAATCAAAACAAAGTTTAACTCTGTGAGATGAATCCACACATATCAGTTGTTTCACAGAGAGCTTCCTTCCTGTTTTCATCTGAGGATATTTACTTTCTTCTCATAGGCCTCAACAGGCAGCCAAATGTTCATTTGCAGATTCTACAAAAGGTGTGCTTTCAACCTGCTGGATCAAAAGAAAAGTTTAACTCTGTGGGATCAATCCACACATCACAAAGCAGTTTCACAGAGGGCTTCTTTCTAATTTTTATCTTGATTTATTTGGTATTTCTCCATAGGTCTAAATGAGCTCTGAAATATCCTTTTACAGATTCTCTAAAAAGAATGTTTAAAACCTGCTGAATCAATAGAAACTTTTAACTTTGTGAGCTGAATGCACACACCACAAGGCAGTTTCACAGATAGCTTCTTTCTAGTTTTCATCTGGGGGTATTTCGTGTTTCCCCATAGGCCTCAATGGCCTCCAAAATGTCAGTTCACAGATTCTCCAAAAAGAGTGTTTCCAACCTGATGTATCAAAATACAGTTTTACCTCTGTGAGATGAATTCATATATAACAAAGGAGTTTCACAGATAGCTTCTTTCTAATTTTTATCTGGGGACATTATATTTTTCCACAAAGGTGTCCATGGGCTTTAAAATGTCCCTTTGCAGATTTTCCAAGAAGAGTGTTTATGACCTGCTGAATCTAAAGAAAGGTTTAATTCTTTGCAATGAATCCACCCGTAATGAAGCAGTTTCTCAGATAGCTTCTTTGTAATTTTTATCTGGGAATATTTCATTTTTCCCCTTAGGCCTCAATTTGCTCTCAAATGTTTCTTCACAGATTCTACAAAAATAATGTTTCCAACATGCTGAATCAAAAGAAAGGTTTAATTCTGTGAGATGAATCCACACATCACAATGCAGATTCAGAGATAGCTTCTTTCTAGTTTTTAATCATTGATTATTCATTTTTTTACCATAGGCCTCAATTGGCTGCCAAATGTCCCTTTGGATATTCTCCAAAAAGAGTTTTTCTAACCTGCTGAATCAAGTCAAAGGTTTAACACTCTGAGATGAATCCACACATTACAAGTCAGTTTGACACATAGATATTTTTCAAGTTCTTATTTGGGGATATTTTGTTTTTCCTGATTGGCCTCAATTTGCTCACAAAAGTCCCTTTGCAGATTCTTCAAAAAACATGTTTCTGATGTGCTGAATCAAAATAAAGGTTTATCTCTGTGAAATGAATCAACACATAACAAACCAGTTTCACATATAGCTTCTTTCTAGTTTTTATCTGGGAATGTTTAGTTTTCCTCCATATGCCTCCATGGGCTCCCAAATATCTCCTCACAGATTCTCCAAAAAAAGTGTTTATAAACTGGTGAATCCAAAGAAAGGTTTAATTCCATGAGATGAATCCACACAAAACAAAGCAGTTTCTCAGTTAGCTTCTTGTTGTTTTTATCTGGGGATAATTTGTATTTCCCCTTAGGCCTCAATTTGACCAAAAATGTTTCTTCACAGATTCTACAAAAAGAGTGTTTCCAAACTGCTAAACCAAAAGAAAGTTTAATTCTGTGAGATGGATCCCCACATCACAAAATAGTTTCACAGATAGCTTCTTTCTAGTTTTTATCTGGATATATTCAGTTTTTCCCCAAGGCCTCAACGGGCTCCAAAATGTTTCTTTGCATATTCTCCAAAAAGAGTGTTTCCAACCTGATGAATGAAAATAAGTTTTAAGTCTGTGAGAAGAATCCACACATCACAAAGCAGTCTCACAGATAGCTTCCTTCTAGTTTTTATCTGGTGTATTCAGTCTTTCCCCATCAGCCTCAGTGGGCTCCCAAATGGCCCTTCGTAGATTCTCCATAAAGAATGTTTCCAATCTGGTGAATCAGGACATAGGTTTAAGTCTATGAGATGAATCAACACATAACAAAGCAGTTTCACAGGTAACTTTTTCCTAGTTTTTTTCTTGGGACATTCAATTATTTCCCATAGGCCTTAATGGGCTCCAAAATGTCCCTCTGTAGATTTTACAAAAAGAGTGCCTCCAAGTTGCTGAAACAAAAGAGAGGGTGAACTCTGTGAGATGAAACCACAAATCACAAAGCAGTGTCACAAAAAGCTGTTTTCTAGTTTTTAATCTTGAGATATTCAGTTTTTCTCCATAGGCCTCAATGTGCTTCCAAATGGACCTTCACAGATTCTATAAAGAGTGTTTCCAACTTGCAGAATCAAGGTAAAAGTTTACCTCTGTGAAATGAATCAACACATCACAAAGCAGAGTAAAAGATAGATTTTTTTCTAGTTTTTATCTGGGGATATTTTGTTTTTCCCCATAGCCCTCAATGGGCTTGCAAATAACCCTTTGCAGATTCTCCAAAAGAAGTGTTTCCAACTTGCAGAGACAAAAAAATGGTTTAGCTCTGTGAAGTGAATCCAGGCATCACAAAGCAGTTTCACAGGTAGCTTTTTTCTAGTTTTTATCTGGGGATATTCGATTTTTCCCCATAGGACCCAATGTGCACCAGAATGCCCCTTCAGAGATTCTCCAATTAGAGAGTTTCTGACCTGCTGAATCACAAGAAAGGTTTAACTCTGTGAGATGAATCCACACATCAGAAAGCAGTTTCACAGACAACTTCTTTCTAGTTTTATCTGGGAATATTCAGCTTTATCAAATAGACCTCAATGGGCTCCCAAATGTCCCTTTGCAGATTCTTCAAAAAAAAAGTTTCCAACCTGCTGAATCAAAAGAAGCTTTTATCTCTATGAGATGAATACACACATCACAAAGCAGTTTTACAGCTAGGTTCCTTGTCATTTTCACATGGGGATATTCAATTTTTCCCCATAGGTCTCACTGGGCTCTCAAAAGTCCCTTCGCAGATTCTACAAAACAGTGTTTCCAACATGCTGAAGCCAAAGAAAAGTTTAATTCTGAGAAATGAATGCACACATCATGAGGCAGTTTCACTGATAGCTTCTCCCTTGTTTCTATCTGGGGATATTCTGTTTCTCCCCATAGGCCTCAATGGGGTCCTAAATATTTCTTCGTTGATTCTCCAAAAAAAGGGCTTGGCACTTTCTGCATAAAAGAAAGGCTTAACTCTGTGAGGTGAGTCTACAAATCACAATGCAGTTTCATGGTAGATTCTTCTCTTTCTATCTGGGGATAATCTGTTTTTCCCCATAGGCCTCAAAGGGCCCCTAAATTGACCTTTGTATATTCTATAAAAAGAAGATCTGCAACCTGCTGAATCAAAAGAAAGGTTTAAATCTCTGAGCTGAATCCACACATCACAAAGCAGTTTCACAGATTGCTTCTTTGTAGTTTTTATCTGGGGATATTCCTTTTTTCCCCATAGGCCTCAATGGGCTCCCAAGTGTCCCTTCACAGATTCCCCAAAATGACTGTTTCCAACCTCCTGAATGAAAAGAAAGGCTTTACTATTGCAGATTAATCCACACATCACAAAGCAGTTTCACAAATAACTTCTTTCTAGTTTTCACCTGGGGATATTCGTTCTTTCCATAGATCTCAATGGTCTCCCAAATGTCCCTACACAGATTCTCTAAAAACAGTCCTTTCAACCTGCTGAATCAACAAAAAGTTTTGACTCTGTGAGATGAATCCACCCATCACAAAACAGTTACACAGATAGCTTCTTTCTAGTTTTTATCTGGAGATATTCAGTTTTTTCCCATAGGCCTCAATGGCTCCCAAATATAGCTTTGCAGATTCTCCAAAAAGAGTGTTTCCAACCTACTGAATCAAAAAATATTTTAACTCTGTGAGATGAATCAACACATCGCAAAGCAGTTTCACAGATGCCTTCTTTCTAGTTTTTACCTAGGGATATTTTGTTTTACCCCATTGGCCTCAATGGGCAGTCAAATATTTCTCTGCAGATTCTCCAAAATGAGGGTTTCCAACCTGTTGAATAATTATAATAATAAAAGATTAAACCACGTGCGATGATCCACACATCGCAAAGCAGTTTTGCAGATAGCTTCTTTGTAGTTTTAATCTTAAAGTATTCTGTTTTTCCCCTTTGGCCTCAATGGGCTCCCAAATGTCCCTTCACAGATTCTCTAAAAAGAGTGTTTCCAACCTGCTGAAAAAAAGAAAGAGCTAACTCTCTGACATGAATTCACACATCACAAGGCAGTTTCACAGATTGCTTCTTTCTAGTTTTTATCTGGTGATATTGGGTTTTTTCCCATAGTACTCAAAGGCTCCCAAGTGTCACTTCTCAGTTTCTCGAAAAAGAGTGTTTCCAACCTGATGAATCAAAAGAAAGGTTTAACCTTCGGAGATGAATCCACCCATCGCAAAGCAGCTTCACAGATACCCTCTTTCTAGTTTTTATCTGGGCATATTCTGTTTTTTTCCCATAGGACTCAATGGGCTCCAAGTGTCCCTTCACAGATTCTCTAAAAAGAGTTTTCCAACCTGCTGAATCAAAAGAAAGGTTTGACTCTGTGAGGTGAATCTACACATCACAAAGAACTTCCACAGATAGCTTCTTTCTAGTTTTTGTCTGAGGATATTCGTTTTTCCTCCCATATTTCTCAATGGGCTCCCAAATGTTGCTTCACAGGTTCTCCAAAAGGAGTGTTTCCAAAATGCTGGATTAACAAAAAAGGTTTAACTCTGTGAGATGGATCCACACCTCACAAAGCAGTTTCACAGATAGCTTATTTCTAGTATTTATCCAGAGACATTCAGTTTTTTTCCATTGGCCTCAATGAGCTCCCAAATGTCCCTTCACAGATTCTTCAAAAAGAGTGTTTTCAATCTGCTGATTCAAAACACAGGTTTAAATCTGTGAGATGAATCCACACATCACAAAGCAGTTTCATAGATAGCTTCCTTCTAATTTTTAGCTGGGGATATTTTGTTTCTCCCCAGAGGCTCAATGGGCTCCCAAATGTCTCTTCACTGATTCTCCAAAAAAAAGTTTTTCCAATGTGCTGAATCAAAAGAAAGTTTCAACTCTGTGAGATGAATCCATACCTCAAAAAGCAGTTTCACAGATAGCTTCTTTCTAGTTTTCTTTTTTTCCTTGGGTATTCAGTTTATCCCTATAGGCATCAAAGAGCTCCCAAATGTCTCTTCACAGATTCCCCAGTTAGAGTGTTTCCAACCCTGCTGAATCAAAAGAAAGTTTTAACTATGTCAGATAAATCCACATATCACAAAATGTTTTCACAGATAGCTTCATTCCAGATTTTATCAGGGGATATTCAATTTTTCCCTTTAGGCCTCAATTTGCTCACATATTTTTCTTCACAGATTATACAAAAACAGTTTTTCCAAACTGCCGAATCAGAAGAATGGTTTTATCTGTGAGAATAATCCAAACAACACAAAGCAGTTTCATAGATTTCTTTTTTTCTATTTTTTTTTTGTTGTTGTTGGGGCTTATTCAGTAATTCTCCATAGGCCTCCATGGGCTCCCAAATGTCCCTTCACAGATTCTCCAAAAAGAATGTTTTGAACATGGTGAATCAAAACAAAGGTTTAACTCTATGAGATGATACCACACATCACAAAGCAGATTCACAGATAGCTCCTTTGCAGTTTTTATTGGGGGATAATCTGTTTTCCCCCATAGGCCTTAATGGGTGCCAAAACGTCCCTTTGCAGATTCTCCAGAAAGAATGTTTCCAACTTGCTGAATGAAAGGAAAGGTTTAACTCCGTGAGAAGTTTCCACACATCACAAAGTAGTTTCACAGAAGCCTTTTTTCTAGTTTTTATCTAAGGATATTGGGTTTTTCCCCCAGGCAGCAATAAGCTCTCAAATGTCCTTTCACAGATTCTCCAAATAGAGTGTTTCCAACTTCTGAAATCTAAAGAAGGGTTTAATTCTGTCAGATGAATCCACACATCCCAAAGCAGTTTCACAGATAGTTTCTTTCTAGTTTTTGTATGGGGATATTTGGCTTTTTTTTCCCTTAGAACTAATGGGTTCTTATATGTCCCTTTGCATATTCTCCAAAAGGAGTTTTCCAACCTGCTGAATCAAAGAAAGTTGTAAATCTGTGAGATGAATCCACACTTCACAAAGCAGTTACACAGATAGCTTCTTTCTAGTTTTAATCTGTGGATATTCAACTTTTTTGCATAGGCCTCAATGGGCTCCCAAATGTCTCACACCTTATGGCTGTCTTCCCTTGTTCCCTAAAAATCGCTGTTATTCTGCTCTTTTTCAATGTGCCCTGATTTCATATTGTTCAAACACACATTTTACAATCAATTTGTGCAGTTAACCCAGTGATCAGAGTGATCCTGAGGTGATGTACATCCTCAGCCAATGAAGATAACAGGATTAAGAGATTAAAGTAAGGCAAGGATAAGAAATTATGAAAGTTTTATTTTGAAAGTGATAAATGTCCCTATTAAAATGAAATCTTCACAATTTATGTTCCTCTGCCATGGCTCCAGCCGGTCCCTCCATTTTGGGGTCCCTGACTTCCCTCAACATCTCTCCTTTCTTTTTATATAAATGTGCCATGGAGATGAATGCTTGCTCATTCTCTCAGTTTTGATGAAGGATTCTTTTACTTGTCCAGCACACTAAAAACAAGCCAATTAAACAGAGAAACGTAAATCCAAAATTTACTACAGTGGAGCCACCAATAGACTTAATCCAAGTATTGGGGTTTAGTCCGGAAAGACTTTCTGCCACCTGATCAGACGCCTCAGCAGCAGGCACAATGGATAAATGAGCTTGAGAGGCTCCAAAAATTTGTTTCTTTAATTTAGTTATGTCTAAGGATAAGTTATCTTCCCTACCCAAAAGGTGTCCTTTCATCATTTCCCATGAATGATCAGTCTTGCTGTAGGAATATGGTGTGATACAGAAATCAGTAGTATTCCAATTGCACTGCATTTGCATGCAATGTTCAAGACTCACTAGCAGATCTCCAAGCCAAATAACAGATTGTCTTAAATCATTAATTTGATTAGCTAATTTTTGATCAATGCCCTGTTGAGAATTCCACATTTGGGTGTAATTGGCTTGCCAATCCTTAACAAAATGAGAGATTTGAATAGATTAATGTAATGCCATTCTGGCAGTAGCGGCCAGTGCACTGACTCTAATTAGGCCCAAGATCACAGCAATTAAAGTGAAAACAAATCTATTAGTTCTTTTAAGAATTCGTTGTAACACTTCATTAATTAAATGTACTAAGTGGGAAGATTCTCAAGGTCTGTGTAAGGTTACTGGTATCCAGATTCCTTCTCGAGCTCGAACCAATATTACACTTTTCCTGGAGTCAAAATGGGAGTTAATACAAGTGTATAAATGACAATTAATGCATTAGACAGTTTGATTGTTCAGCCAAATTTTGATATTTCCCACTAACAGCATGTAAGGAGGTCTAACGCAACTCTGTATAGTAATAGTCAGGTTGGAGGTAAAAGAAGCAGAATGTCTGAATCTATTTTGTTACTGAGGGAGAGGAGTGGCAGTGGCAATGCCCAATGTTCTCTGCGATAAAGAAGTATTCTGAGGTGCCTGGGAATGCCAAAGAGGTAGAGGGGCATACGTTGGTCGAGAAGAGTTATCATAATGCCAATTGGAGTCCACAAAGGAGGACTGGTGTCAAAAAGAAGAAAAGAGCTCAAAGGGGATTTACCATGGGGTTCAGAATCATGAATGTGAGGGACAGTAGTGGGGACAACAGACAGAAACCTTTCCCCTTCCTTTACTCACAGTCCGGCGGACATGGCAATAGCCGATTTCCAAAATTCTGAGTGTTATGGGCTCAGAATGGGGAATAGCATATGAGGCCTTGGGTAGGGGGTAAAGCCCTTATCTTCCCATTTTAAGGGTAAGAAAGGGCCGAACCTCCTATGCAAAGGAAGATGATGATCCCGTCCTCCCAATAAGAAATAAAATAAGTAGCCTCCAGGAATTCCCTTCTGCCAGAGGAGCAATTGTTTTTTAAACAGCCCTTTGGTGTCCAGTCTATTACTAAACCATATGAGTCATTCTTTAATACTACTGCATGTGACTTAACACAATCTTCCCAAATTAAAGTTTTAGTTGGGCCCTCAAAATTTTTAGGACACGGTTTTCCTACATGTTTATATTGAAAGTATGGAGTATATCCTATTATTCCCCTTTTCATTTGTATTAAAGGAGAAAGGGAGAGACCAGAGACAAAATGTCCCTGTTCCTTTGTAGTTAATCTCTCCAGAAGATCAGCAGCCCAGACTTGAGTTTCTAGATGGATGCAACCAGGTGCATGTCTGAGGCAAATGGGAGGGTATATATAACCCATAGTAACATTAAATGCAGTGCCTTCTTCTCCTGGTTGAAAGGTGAAACGGTCATCTGTAGGTCCAGGCATCCACACACTATCATTAGTATAGATTTTCACAGGAGTATCCATCCAGGTGAGAGGACGAATAAGTAGAGGAAAAGGCACATAAACCCATTAAGAGTAATTTTGTGTAGCAGGTACATCATTGTGAGGGGAACCTGCTGAGACAGAAAATATAAGGAGGAGAATTACTAAATAAAACCTATAGTAAGTGAGATCCAGTGCTGAAGAAGGAAGAGAAGAACAGAAGGATGTTATTTTCAGGCAAATAGAATGGTGAGATTTTTAGGTTTAGGAGAAGTGGGATTAGTTAGATGGGTCTCCGTTGCCATTAGGGAGGATTGAACCAGATAAATTTTGATTTGGCATGCCAGACTTTGAGGAGTTGGTTCAGATCTCACCAGATACGATGGTGACCTCTGGCGTGGACGTCTTTTCCCTGTGGTTTTTATAGTCAAAATTCACAGGAAGTTTAAGTCTCCTAGTAGGCACCCAGACAGGGGACTGATGATCTCCTGGTAAAATACAAGCATACCCTCTTCCCCACGTTATAATTTTTCCAGGTTCCCAGGTATTGGCCTGGGAGTTTTTCAATAAGACTGGCTTGTCCTTCATTTAGGGAGAATTTTTTGCCTGTATAATGGCATTCAGCTGCAATCAGAGTATTGTCTTTAGGAACATTTAGAAAGTTTAAAGAAAACAATGCTAAATATAATTGGGAGTGGGGAGTGATTAAATTATGCTTTTGTTGTTCAGACTCTTTGGACAATTGAGTTTTTAAAGTGTGATTGACCCTTTCCACCAGAGCCTTTCCCTGAAGATTGTAAGGGATTCCGGTAATACAGGAAATTCCCCACTGTTGCATAAATAAATCAAAAGCCTTACTCACATATCTAGGGGTGCTGTCTGGTTTTATTTGATATGGAAGCCCCATAACTGCAAAGCAAGGATACAGATGTCTTTTAATATGGGCCATGCCTTCCTCTGTTTGGCAAGTAGCCCAGGTAAAGCCTGAAAAGATGTCTACGGAAACATGCACATATGAAAATCTGCCAAAGGAGCTAACATGATACACATCCATTTGCCACAAATCATTAGGAGTTAGGCCTGTGGGATTAACACCATGTTCCTGATTTGGAAGTATAAAAACTTGGCACTGAGGGAAGCAGTTGACAATAAGCTTAGCCTCCTTCCAGGTGAGAGCAAATTTATCTTTTAATCCATAACATTGACATGAGAGAGATTATGGAACTCCTGAGCTTCTTGGGTTGCAAAAGAGACCAAACACTCGACTTTATGTTTACCTGTAGACATGGGTCCTGGTAAAGTAGTATGAGATCTAATATGTGTAATATAGAAAGGATGTCTATGTTGGAAAACCACCTGTTGTAATCTTGAAAATAAAGAAGCCAATTCAGAATTATCAATATGTTTGACAGTAGCGGTTTCTACATTTTTAGTGGGAAGTACAACATAAGCAGAATCAGAGAGAATATTTAAAGGTTTGGGGAAATCTTGTAAGGCAGTAATTACAGTAATTAACTCTGCTTTTTGAGAAGAGGTGTAAGGGGTAGAAATAAGCTTGTCTGTAGGACTCACTTAACAAGCATTTCCATTACTGGAGCCATCAGTGAACACTGCAACAGCCTCAGGAATGGGCTGGTTTTTGGTCAATCAAGGGACCACCCAATAAGTCATTTTTATAAAATCAAACAATTTGTTTTTTGGATAATGACTGTCAATAACCAATAAAATCAGCCAAGTGAATTTGCCACAGTATGGAATGTTGAAAAGCAGCTTGAACTTCGAGCCAATTTGAAGGAACCACAATTAAATTTGGATCAAATCCAGAAAGTTTAAGTATTCTAAACTGAACTTGTCCAATTAGGGTGGACATTTTGTCCAGATAAGCGGACAAAGTTTTTGAAACCAAATGAGGAAGAAAACACCACTCCACTAAATCATTACATTGAACTATTAGCCCAGTAGGGGAGTGCAATGAAGCAAAAACCAGAACATGAAAAGGCTGAGACGGCTGTACCCTAGACAATTGAGCAGTTTGGATTTTTTATTCTATGAATTGCAATTCAAGTGAAGCCTCAGGGGTGCAAGTCCTGGGACTGTGGAGATTGGAATCTCCACGAAGCATAGAAAACAAGTTAGACAGCACATATGTTGTTGGAATGCCTAAAGTAGGTCTTCAATAATGATTGTTACCCAATGGTTTTTGGAAATCATTTAAGATTTTCAAAGAAACTCTCCTAATCTGAACTTTTTGAGGTTGAATACATTCTTATCGACCAGCATTCCAAAATATTGAACAGGAGTGGACTGTTGAATTTTATCCTGAGTGATGTGTAATCCAGCCTCTATAACATGGTGGCTCCAAAATTGATAACAGTCAATTAATTGTTTATCAATGGAGGCAAAAATTAATATATCATCAATATAGTGAAGAATATCAGCCTGTTGAAATTGAGCTCGAACTGGTGAAAGCACCTGTCCAACATAAATCTTGCAGATAGTAGGGCTATTCAGCATTCCCTGATGAAGTACTTTCCATTGATAATGAGCTGCAGGCTCCTGATTATTGATAGATGGAAAAGTAAAGGCAAAAATTTACAATCCAATTCATGCAAAGCAATATGAAAAAAGCAATCTTTAAGACCAATAACTATGAGAGGCCAATTTTTAGGTATTAAAGCAGCGGCAGGCATGCCAGGTTGGACTGCTCCCATAGGTTTAATTACAGCATTAATGGACCTTAAATCAGTTATCATTGGCCAGTTGCCTGATTTCTTTTTTACTAGAAACATAGAAGAATTCCAGGAGGGGAAGAGAACATTCCACATTTCCAAGTAGTAACTGTTCAGAAACCCATTGAGTTGAAGCCTCCAGTTTTTCTTTAGAGAGTGGCCACTGCTCAATTCAAGCAGGTGTTTCCAATTTCCATTGTAAAGGAATAAGATTAGGAGGTTTGTGAGTGGCTGCCATTAAAAAGGATGATCTAAACCAACCCTGTCCTCTTTTAAAGTAACTTGAAGGGGTTTAATAATTCCTTCATGTTTTTGACCAAGACCTAGTCTGGGAACAAACCCCATGTTTTCCATTATATGTTGACTGGGAGCACTATAAGAGTTATGTGGAATATTAATTTCAGCCCCCCATTGTGCCAGCAAATCTCTACCCCAAAGATTGATGGGGATTGGCGTGATATAAGGCTAAATTGGACCATTTTGACCATCATGGCCAGTGCAAGGCAAGATAAATGTGCTCTGGTGAACTTCATCAGCCTTTCCAACACCTATTACTCCCATGTTGGCAAGATGTTTAAGCCCAGAGGAAGGCTGTAAATTAGAGGAAATAATAGAAACATCAGCCCCAGTATCTACTAGGCCCTCAAACTTTTTTCTTTGAATGTGTATGGTGCAGGTGGCCCATGGTTTAGAAATTACATTAATCCATTAAGCAGGTTTTTCACCGCCATAGCCCATTCCAGGGCCCCATGACTTATCTCCCTTGTTTAAAACAATATTATGTAATAAAAGTAATTGAGCAATTGACTCACTGGCCAGAATGGAAACAAGAACCTTGGCGCACAATATAAGGTTAATGTCATCAGAGGAATCAGAATTAATGAGGCCAGTATGATGAGTGATACCTTTAGCAGAGGTGGATGCCCTACCTAATATCAGGCCCACCGAACCTTGAGATAAAGGGCCAGTGACCCCAGTGGGGACAATTAATGGCAAAGAATTAGGTAGTAAATTTAAAGGGATGGTACTACAGAGATTGACTGCCCCACCCTCTACTGTGGATGTGGACAAGCTTTGTACAGAGACAAAAGAAGAGGCTGGGGCCAATCTGGCTTGGCTGCATATAAACTTGTTTGTGCTGGGGGCTGCATTGGGACCACTTGAAGTGGAAATGCAACATTGGTCTGAGTCTGAGGTGTCCTATTTGATATTGGCTCCTGGGACTGGCCCCACTTCCCGTTTCCCTGGTTCTGTGGCAGGGGATTGCCATCTATATCAGACTTAGAGCAGCAAGTACTTACCCACTGTTTAACCTTATGACAATGCAGGCAAACAGTAGGAGCAGCATTTGGCCATGTTTTTTGAGCCAGCTTGGCCACTTTTAAGTTTTTAACAGTGCAATTTTATTGAGTAGACCAATTTGAGCACAATTATAGCAGGCTCCAAGTAAAGAATCAGTTGAGCCACTTTGATTGGCATCCTTCATGGCCAGTGCCCATAGAATAGCTTTGTGGGTCTCTGATTCCATGCCTTCACAAGCCTTAATATATGCAGGCAACAATTCGTGATCAGGTAAATTTAACGTTGGATGGAACACATGGCCATTTTACATTCATGGTCCACATTTTCAACACCTGACATGCAAAGGGAAATACCTTGAACATTCTCTTCAGAGACAGATTTTTCAACAGCATCTTGTAATTTAGCCAGAAAATCAGGATATAATTCATTGTGACCCTGTTTAACAGTACTAAAAGAAACAGGAGTTTGGCCTGGGGTGTATAATTTATCCCAAGCTCTCATACACACCTTTGTTACTTGTTCCATGGTGAGAGCACCAAAGCCTAATTGAGCGGCAGTGTCAGAGGAATTATCGGAGCCTGTGAGCTGAGCCTGAGTAATTAGAATGCCATCAGGCCGATTTAGCTGAGCCTGCAGACAGACCTCCTCTGACCACCAGGTACAGAATTGTAAATGCTGAGAAGGAGTTAGAACAGCTTTTGCCAAAATGTCCCAGTCTAAAGGAAGAAAAAGTCTTTAGTACAAAGAGTGTGTAATATCATTTTAACATATGAAGAAGTAGGACCATACTGAGTAAAAGCATCCTTGAATTCTTTTAAAAAGGTAAGATTGAGTGGTGCATATTGATGCACTTGTTCCCCTTAAGCGTTAGGAGGTTCCAGCGCAACAGGATAAGCCCATGTCTCTAATCCACTTGTTTCTTTGTTTTGGCATAATAGGTGTTGTATGGAAGTTTCAAGAAAAGGCACATGAGAAGGAGTCGGTATAGAAGTGACAGAAAAAGCATATGTAGATAAGGGAAACTGAGTTTGAGGAAGTCAGAACAATATGAGAGTGTGAGAAAGGTGAATTGTAGGGGCAGAAGAGGCAGAAGCATACTGGTGATTATTGGCAACCATGCATGAAGAAGTGTACAGAGAAGCAGGTTGAGTGGATGGCAAGGTGACCAGTTGAGGGACTGAAATGACAGGAGGGTGAGGGACAGTGGTGGGTGGGGGAGGGCCTGCAGAATAACAGGTAAATTGTAGTTTGGCCCTGGAGCCACTAGGTGTCTCCGGAGGCAAAGGCTGCAAAGGTTTGAAGAGGGAAGTGTTAGCATAGATATGGTCCTGGGCTGTCTGAGTCAGGGCCATGGGAAATACAAGTATCAATTTTTAATGAAAAGAAATAAAATCATCAGGGTGTGATGTTAAGCCAAAGTCACCAGAGTTAGATATTGAATCCTCAACATCATCAGGTGGGGGACGAGTAGGTGAAGGGAGACACTGAGCAGATAATGAAGGCCACTTGTGAGAGGAAAGCTGAGGAAGAGGTAGAGGTCGCCAGATTCAGAAAACTGTGGTAACTGCAAGGGGTCACAGGATTTGCATGTCATTAGGATGGCATGTACCAAGGCCCAATCACCCCAAACAGTGATGGGAACATAATTTTCTGCTGGGACCAGTTCCCAGAATTTTGCACCAACATGATCCCATAGTTCCACATCTAATGTTCCCTTTTCAGGAAACCAAGGACAGTGTTCTTCCAATGCCCTTAATAGAGTGACCATATTTTCCATGGGCACCTGAACCCCACCCTGTTTTAACATGAGTTTAATATAGCAGAGATAAGCATAATGTTTAAATTCCATGTGATCCAGAGTTACCCCAAACAATACACGGTCAACTTACCAAACATCAGGGAGCCAAACAAGCGTTTCTGTGGACCGGACCAATGAACATTTCTCCATACCTACCAAAGGAATTGGGTTGCCACATGCATTTAGGAAAAAGAAAAACCACATTGGTGCACCACATACCGGGGAACCCACCCCCAATATTTGCACGTAAGTTCTTTCTACTTTCCCTAAGTGTTGGCTGGCTGAGAAAAAGAGAAAGAGTACAAAGAAAGGAATTCTACAGCTGTGCCTCCAGGGGTGACTTCATATATTGATAGGACCGTGATGCCCTCCTGAGCCAAAAAAAAGCAAGTTTTCATTAAGGATTTCAAAAGGGGAAGGGGTGTATGAACGGTGAGTAGGTCACAAAGATCACAAGCTTCAAACGGCAAAAAGGAGAACAAAGATCACATGCTTCTGAGGAAACAGGACAAGGGCAAACCAGAAGTTCTGATAAGGGTCTATGTTCAGTGGTGCACGCATTGCCTTGATAAACATCTTAACAGACAGCAGGGTTTGAGAGCAGAGAACCGGTCTGACCTGAAATTCACCAGGGTGGGGTTTTCTCCACCCTAATAAGCCCGAGGGGAATGCAGGAGACCAGGGCATATCTCAGTCCTTATCTCAACTGCATAAGGCAGACACAGAACAGTCATTTACAGACCTCGCCCCAGGATTGCAATTCTTTTCCCGGAGTATTAAATATCGATATCCACTGCTAGTATGCTATACAATCAATTTGTACAGTTAAAACAATCATCACAATGATCCTGAAGTGATGTACATCCACAGCTTATGAAGATAACAGAATTAAGAGATTAAAGTAAAATAGGCATGAGAAATTATGAAACTATTATTTTGAAAGTGATAAATGTCCATATTAAAATGAAATCTTCACAATTAATGTTCCTCTGCTGTGGCTTCAGCCCGTCCCTCAATTTTGGGTCCCTGATTTCCCACAACATCACATAGCTTCCTTTTAGTTTTTATGCTGGGATATTCACTTATTTGCCTTTGGCCCCAATGAGCTCTCAAATGGCCTTTCACAGACTATACAAAGACAGTGTTTCCAAACCACTGAATGAAAAGAAAGGATTCACTCTGTGAGATGAAAGCAGACATCACAAAGCAGCCTATCAGAAAGCTTCTTTCTAGTTTTTATCTGAAGATATTTTCGCCTTCACTATAGGCCTCAATAAGCTCGCAAATGTCCATTCCCAGAATGCAAAAAAAATGGTGTTTCCAAACTGCTAAATCAAATGAATAACTCTGTGAGATAACTGCACACATCACAAAGCAGTTTCTCAGAAAGACTCTTTCCAGTTTTTATCTGAAGATAATTTCTTTTTCACCATAGTCTTAATTGTGCTCCAAAATGTCTTTTCACAGAATCTATAAAAACAGTGTTTCCAAACTGCTAAATGAAAAGAAAGGTTTATTTCTGTGAGATGAATGCACACATCACAAAGTGGTTTCTCAGATAGCTTCCCTCTAGTTTTTATCTTGGGATGTATGATTTTTCACCACAGGCCTCAATGAGTTCCCAAATGTCCATTGGCAGAATGTACATAAACATTATTTCCAAACTGCTGAATCAAAAGAAAGTTTTAACTCTATGAAATGAATGCATGCATCAAAAACATTTCTCAGAAAGATTCTTTCTAGTGTTTATCTGAAGATATATTATTTTTCACCATAGGCCTCAATGCACTTTCAAGTGTCCTTTCACATAATGTAAAAAACAGTGTTTCCAAATTGCTGAATCAAAAGAAAGCTTTAACTCTGTGAGATGAATGCACACATCACAAAGCAGTTTCTCAGAAAGCTTCTTTGTAGTTTTTATCCGAATATATTTTCTTTTTCATCATTGGCCTCAGTGAGCTGCCAACTGTCCATTCGTTGAAAGTACATAAACAGTGTCTCTAAATTGCTGAATCAAGATAAGGTTTAACTCTGTGAGATGAATGCACACATTACAGAGCAGTTTCTCAGAAAGGTTCTTTTTAGTTTTTATCTGAAGGTATTTTATTTTTCACCGTAGACCTCAATGAGCCCCCAAATGAACACTCACAAAATGTACAAAAACAGTGTTTCTAAACTGCTGAATCAAAAGAAAGGTTTAACTTCGTGAGATGCACACAACACAAAGCAGTTTCTCAGAAAGCTCCTTTCTAGTTTTTATTTGAAGATATTTTCTTTTCTCACCACAGGCCTCTATGCTGAAAGAAAGGAAATTTTTAACTCTGTGAGATGAATGCACACACCACAAAGCAGTTTCTCGGAAAGCTTCTTTGTAGTTTTTATCTGAAGATATTTCCTTTTTTACCTCAGGCCTCAATGCTCTCCAAAATGTCCTTTCACAGAATCTACAATACAGTGTTTCCAAACTGCTGAATCAAAAGTATGGTTTAAATCTGTGAGATGAATGCATACATTTCAAAAAGGTTTCACAGATAGCTTCCTTTTTGTTTTTATCTTGAGGTATATGCTCTTTCATCATTGGCTTCAATTAGCTCCCAAATGTCCAATCACAGATTGTACAAAAACAGTGTTTCCAAACTGCTCAATCAAAAGAAAGTTTTACCTTTGTGAGATGAATGCACACATCACAAAGCAGTTTCTCAGAAAACTTCTTTCCAGTTTTTATCTTAAGATATTTTCTTTTTCATCATATGCCTCAATGCACTCCCAAATGTCTTTTCCCAGATTAAACAAAAACAGTGTTACCAAACTATTGTATCAAAAGAAAGGTTTAACTCTTTGAGATGAATGCACACATCACAAAGTAGTTTGTCAGAAAGCATCTTCCTAGTTTTTATATGAAGATATTTTCTTTTTCACCATAGGCCTCAAATGGTTCTCAAATGTCTTTTCACAGATTCTACAAAAACAGTGTTTCCAAACTGCTGAATCAATAGAAAGTTTTAGCTCTGTGAGATGAATGCACACATCACAAAGTGGTTTCTCAGATATATCCCTCTAGTTTTTATCTTCAGATATTCACTTTTTCACCATTGACTTACATGAGCTTCCAAAAGTCCTTTCACAGAATGAATGCAAACAGTGTTTCCAAACTGCTGCATCAAAAGAAAGGTTTAACACAGTGAGATTAATGCACACACCAAAAAGCGCTTTCGCATAAAGCTTCTTTCTGGTTTTCATCAGAAGATATTTACTTTTTCAGCTTAGGCCTCAATGTGCTCCCAAATGTCCTTTCCCAGATTCTACTAAAACTGTGTTTCCAAACTACTGAATGAAAAGAAAGGTTCAAGTCTGTGAGATGAATGCACACATCACAAACCAGTATGTCAGATGGCTTATTTCTAGTTTTTATCTGAAGATATTTTCTTTTTCACCATAGGCCTCAGAGCACTCCAAAATGTCTTTTCACAGATTCTAGAAAAACAGTTTCCAAACTGCAGAATCAATAGAAAGATTTAGCTCTGCAGGTTGAATGCACACATCACAAAGTGGTTTCTCACATAGCTTCCATCTAGTTTTTATCTTGGGATATTGGCTTTTTCACCTTTGGCCTGAATGATCTCCCAAAGGTGCATTCGCAAATTCTACAAAAATATTGATTCCAAACTGCTGAATCAAAAGATAGATTTAACTCTGAGTTGAATGCACACATCACAAAGTGGTTTCTCAGATAGCTTCCTTCTAGTTTTTATCTTGTTATATTGGCATTTTCACCATTGGCCCAATGAGTTCCCAAATGTCCTTTTGCAGATTCTACAAAAACACTGCTTCCAACATACTAAATCAAAAGATAGTTTTAACTCTGCAGGTTGAATGCACACATCACAAAGCGGTTTTTCAGGCAACTGCTTTCCAGTTTTTATCTTGGGACATTGGCTTTTTCACCATTGGCCTCAATGAGCTCCCAAATGTCCATTCGCAGATTCTATGAAAACGGTGTTTCCAAACTGCTGGATCAAAAAAGAGGTTTAACATTGTGAGATGATGGCACACATCACAAAGCAGTTTCTCAGAAATCTTCTTTACAGTTTTTATCTGAATATATTTCCTTTCTCATGATAGGCCTCAATGCTCTCCCAAATGTTCTTTTGCAGATTCTACAAAAACAGTGTTTCCAAGCTGCTGAATCATAGTAAGGTTTAACTCAGTGAGATGAATGCACACATCACAAAGTGGTTTCTCAGATAGCTTCCTTTAGGTTTTTGTCCTGGGATATTCATTTTTTCGCCATTGGCCACAGTGAGCTCCCAAATGTGCCTTCACAGATTCTACAAAAACAGTGTTTCCAACCTCCCAAATCCAAAGAAAAGATTAACCCTGCAAGATGAATGCATACACCACAAAGTGGTTTATCAGATAGCTTCCTTGTAGTTGTTATCCTGGGATATTCACTTTTTTGCCATTGGCATCAATGTCAGAAATCTTCTTTTTACTTTTTGTAGAATCTGCAAAAGCACACTGAAGAGTGTGCTGAAGCCTATGCTGAAAAAGAAAATACTTTCAGATAAAAACTAAAAAGAAGCTTTCTGAAAAAATTCTCTGTGATGTTTCCATTTACCTCACAGAGATAAACCATTCTTTTGGTTCAGAATTTGGAAACACTGTTTTGCTACATTCTGAGAATGGACATTTGAGGGTCCATTGAGGCCTATGGGGAAAAAGAAAATATTTTCAGATAAAAAGTAGAAAGGTGATTTCTGAGAAACTGCTTTGTGATGTGTGCATTCATATCATAAAGTTAAAACTTTCTTTTGATTCAGCAGTTTGGAAACACTGTTTTTGTAGAATCTGTGAAAAAAACATTTGGGAGAATATTGAGGCCTATGGTGAAAAGGAAGTATCTTCAGATAAAAACTAGAGTGAAGCTTTCTGAGAAATTGCTTTGTAATGGGTACATTTAACTCAAAGAGTTAACATTTTATTTTGATTCAGCAGTTTGGAAATAATGTTTTTGTACATTCTGTCAATGAGCATTTGGAAGTTCATTGAGGCCAATGGTGAAAAAGAAAATATTCCAAGACGAAAACTAGCAGGAAGCTATATGAGAAACTCCTTCGTGATGTGTGGATTCATCTCACAGAGTTAAAACATTCATTGGATTCAGCAGTTTAAAAACTCTTTTTTTGTAGAATCTGAGAAAAGGCATTTGGGAGCACTTTGAGGCCTATCGTGACAAAGAAAATTTCTTCAGATAAAAAGTAGAAAGAAGCTTTCTGAGAAACTTCTTTGTGATGTGTGCCTTCATCTCACAGAGTTAAACCTTTCTTTTGATTCAGTAGTTTGGAGACACAGTTTTTGTCCATTCTGCAAATAGACATTTGGGAGCTCACTAAGGCCAAAGGCAAAAAAGCAAATATCTTAGGATACAAATAGGTAGGAAACTTTATGTGAAACTTCTTTGTTATGTGTGCATTCATCCCACATAGATTAACCTTTCTTTTGATTCACAATTTGGAAACAGTTTTTTTGTACATTCTGCAAATGGACATTTAGGAGTGTTTTGAGGCCTATGGTGAAAAAGAAAAAATATATTCAGATAAAAACTAGAAAGATGTATTCTGACAAAATGCTTTGTGATGTGTGCATTCATCTCTCAGAGTTAAAGCTTTCTTTTTATTCAGCAGTTTGGAAACTGTTTTTGTACATTCTGCGAATGGACATTTGGGAGGTTATTGAGGCCAATCATGAAAAAGTGAATATTCCAAGATAAAAACTAGATGGAAGCTATCTGAGAAACCACTTTGTGATGTGTGCATTGTTCTCACAGAGTTAAACCTTTCTTTCGATTCAACAGCTTAGAAACACTGTTTTTTAGAATCTGCAAAAGTACATTTGGGACAGCATTGAAACCTATGGTGAAAAAGAAAATATCTTCAGATAAAAAAAATAGAAAGAAGCTTTCTAAGAAACTGCTTTGTGATGTGTGCATTCAACTCACAGAGGTAAATCTTTCTTTTGATTCAGCAGTTTGGAAACACTGTTTTTGTAAATTATGCGAATAGACATTTGGGAGCTCATTGAGGCCTATGGTGAAAAAGAAAACATCTTCAGATAAAAACTAGAAAGAAGCTTTCTGAGAAACCACTTTGTGATGTATGATTTCATCTCACAGAGTTAAACTTTCTTTTGATTCAGCAGTTTGGAAACAATGTTTTTCTAGAATCGGCGAAAGGACATTGGGGAGCTCATTGAGGCCTAAAGTGAAAAAGAAAATATCTTCAGATAAAAACTACAAAGAAGCTTTCTGAGAAACTGCTTTGTGATGTGTACATTCACTTCAGAGATTTAAACATTTCTTATGATTCAGCAGTTTGGAAACACTGTTTTTGTACTTTCTGTGAATGGACATTTTAGAGCTCATTGAGGCCAATGGTGAAAAAGTGAATATCCCAAGATAAAAATTAGAAGGAAGCTATCTGGGAAATCGCTTTGTGATGTGTGCATTCACCTGGCAGAGTTAAACCTTTCTTTTGATACAGGATTTGGTAAACACTGTTTGTGTGGATTCTGCAAAAGGACATTTGGGAGTGCATTGAGGCCTGTGGTGAAAAAGAAAATATCTTCAGATAAAAACTAGAAAGAAGGTTTCTGAGAATCTGCTTCATGATGTGTGCGTTCACCTCACAGAGTTAAACTTTTCATTTGATTCAGCAGTTTGGAGACCCTGTTTTTCTACATTCTTTGAATGGACATTTGGGAGTTCACTGAGGCCAATGGTGAAAAGGGGAATGTCCTAGGATTAAAAAGTAGAAGGAAGGTTTCTGAGAAATTGCTTTGTGATGTGTGCATTTGTCTCACAGAATTAAACATTTCTTTCAATTCAGCAATTTGGAAACCCTCTTTTTGTACATTCTGCAAGTGAACATTTGGGAACTCACTCTGGCCAATGGCAAAAAAGGAAATACCCTAGGATAAAAACTAGGTGGAAACTATCTGAAAAACTGGTTTGTGATATGTGCATTGCTCTGGCTGAGAAAAACTTTTCTTTTGATTCAGCAGTTTGGAAACTCTGTATTTGTAGAATCTGCAAAAGGACATTTGGGAGTACTTGGAGGCCTATGTTAAAAAAGAAAATATCTTTAGATGAAAACAAGAAAGAAGCTTTCTGAGAAACTGCTTTGTTATGTGTCCATTCATCTCACAGAGTTAAAGCTTTATGTTGATTCAGCAGTTTGGAATCACTGTTTTTGTAAAATCTGTGAAAGGATATTTGGGAGTGCATTGAGGCCTATGGTGAAAAAGAAAATATCTTCACATAAAAACTAGAAAGATGCTTTGTGAGGAACTGCTTTGTGATGTGTGCATTCATCTTACAAAGTTAAACCATTCCTTTGCTTAAGCAGTCTGGAAACACTGTTTTTATATATTCTGCAAATGGACATTTAAGAGCTCATTGAGGCCTATGGCGAAAACAAAAATATCTACAAATAAAAACTAGAAAGAACTTCTGAGAAAATGCTTTGTGATGTGAGCATTCACCTCACAGAGTTAAACATTTCTTTTGCTTCAGGAGTTAGGAAACACTGCTTTTGCGCATTCTGTGGATGGATATTTGTGACCTCAATTGAGGTCAATGGTGAAAAAGTGAATAACCCAAGATTAAAACTAGAAGGAAGCTATCTGATAAAACACTTTTTAATGTGTGCATTCATCTCACAATGTTGAAACTTTCTTTTGATTCAGCAGTTTGGAAACAATGTTGTTGTAGAATCTGTGAAAGAACATTTGGGAGTTCATTGAGGTCTATAGTGAAAAAGAAAATATCCTCAGATAAAAACTGGAAAGAAGCTTTATAAGAAACAGCTTTGTGATGTGTGAATTACTCTGAGTTAAAACTTTCTTTTCATTCAGCTCTTCAGAAACAATGTTTATCTGAAATCTGCAAATGGACATTTGGGAGCTCATTGAGGCCTAAGGTGAAAAATAAAACATCTTCAAATAAAAACTAGAAAGAAACTTCCTGACAAACTGCTTTCTGTTATGGGCATTCATCTCACAGATTTGAATCTTTTGATTCAGCAGTTTGGAGACACTGTTTTTGTAATATCTGTGAAAGGACAATTGGGAGTGCATTTAGGCCTATGGTGAAAAAAATATCTTTATATAAAAACTAGAAGGAAGATTTCTGAGAAACTGCTTGTTGAAATGTCCATTCATCACACACAATTAAGCCTTTCTTTTGATTCCACAGTTTGGAAACAGAGTTTTTGTACCTTCTGCGAATGGACATTCAGGAGCTCACTGAGGCCAATGGCAAAAGAGAGACTATCCCAGGATAGAAAGTACAATGAAGCTTTCTGAGAAACTGGTTTGTGATGTGTGCATTCATCTGGCAGAGATAAAATTTCTTTTGATTCAGCAGTTTGGCAACACTCTTTTTGTACATTCTGTGAATGGATATTTGGGAGCTCATTGAGGCCAATGGTGAAAAAGAAAGTATCCCAAGACAAAAATTAGAAGAAAGCAATCTGTGAAACCGCTTTGTGATTTGTGCATTCATCCCACAGAGTTAAACGTTTCTTTGGATTCAGTGGTTTGGAAACACTGTTTTTGTAGAATCTGAGAAAGGACATTTGGGAGTGCTTTGAGGCCTATTGTGAAATAAGAAAATGTGTTCAGATAAAAACTAGAAAGAAGCTTTCTGAGAAACTGCTTTCTGATGTGTGCATTCACCTCACAAAGGCAAACATTTATTTTGACTCAGGAGTATGGAAACTTTTTTTGTACATTCTGCTAATGGACATTTGGGAGCCCATTGAGGCCTATGGTGAAAAAGAAAATATCTTCAGATAAAAACAAGAAAGAAGCCTTCTGAGAAACTGCTTTTTGTTGTGTGCATTAAACTCACAGAGTTAAACTTTTGTTTTGATCCAGCAGTTTGAAAACACTATTTTTGTACATTCTGTGAATGGACATTTGGGAAGTCATTTAGGCCAATGGTGAAAAAGTGAATTTTCCAATATAAAAACTAGAAGGAAGCTATCTGAGAAACCACTTAGTGATGTGTACATTCCTCTCACAGAGTTAAACCTTTCTTTTGATCCAACAGTTTGGAAACACTGTTTTTGTGGAATCTGTGAAAGTACATTTAAGAGGTCATTGTAGCCTGTGGTGAAAAAGAAAATATCTTCAGATAAAAAATGGAAAGAAGCTTTCTAAGAAATTGCTTTGTGATGTGTGAAGTAATCTCACAGATTTAAAACATTCTTGCCTTTCAGCATTTTGGAAACAATGTTTTTCTAAAATCTGCAAATGGACATTGTGGATCTCAATGAGGCCTAAGGTGAAAGAGAAAATATCTTTATCTTCAGATAAAAACTGGAAAGAAGCTTTCTGAGAAACTGCTTTGTGATGTATGCATTCATCTAACAGAGGTAAACACTTCTTTTCATTTAGCAGTTTGGAAACACTGTTTTTGTACATTCTGCAAATGGACATTTGGAAGCTCACTGAGGCCAGTGGTGAAAATGTGAATATCCCAAGATAAAAGCTAGAAGGAAGCTGTCTGAGAAACTGCTTTGTGATGTGTGCATTCATCTCGCAGAGTTAAACCATTCTTTTGATACAGCAGTTTAAATAAACTGTATTTGTAGAATCTGGGAAAAGACATTTGGGAGAACTTTGAGGCTTATGCTGAAAAAGAAAATACCTTCAGATAAAAACTGGAAGGAAACTTCCTGACAAACTGCTTTGTGATATGTGCATTTATCTCATTGAGTTAAGTCTTTCTTTTGATACAGCATTTTGGAGATGCTTTTTTTGTACATTCTGCAAATGGACATTTGGGAGCTCACTGAGGCCAATGGCATAAAAGCAAATATCCTATGATAAAAAGTAGAAGGAAGCTTTCTGAGAAATTGCTTCTGATGTGTGCATTCATCTCACAGAATTAAACCTTTCTTTTGATTCGGCAATTTCAAAAGACTATTTTTGTACTTTCTACAAATGGACCTTTGGGAGTTCACTGAAGCCAATGACAAAAAAGAAAATATCCCAGGATAAAAACTACAAGGAAGCTATCTGGGAAACTGGTTTGCGATGTATGCATTCATCTGGCAGACATAAACCTTTCTTTTGATTCAGCAGTTTGGAAACACTGTTTTTGTAATATCTGCAAAAGGACTTTTTGGAGCGCATTTAGGCCTATGTTGAAAAATAAAATATCTTTAAAGATAAAAACTAGAAGGAAGCTTTCTGAGAAACTGCTTTGTTAATGTGTCCATTCATCTCACAAAGTTAAAACTGTCCCTTGATTCAGCAGTTTGGAAACACTATTTTTGTGCTTTCTGCTAATGGACATTTGGGAGCTCACTGAGGCCAATGGTGAAAAAGTGAATATCCCAGGATAAAAACTAGAAGGAAGCTTTCTGCGAAAGAGCTTTGTGATCTGTGCTTTCATCTCATGGAGTTAAACACTTCTTTTGATTCAGCAACTTGGAAACACTCTTTTTCTATGTTCTGTGAGTGGACATTTGGGAACTCATTGAGGCCAATGGTGGAGAAGCGTGTATCCCAAGATAAACATTAGAAGGAAGTTATCTGAGTAACTACTTTGTGATGTTTGCATTCATCTTACAAAGTTAAACCATTCTTTTGCTTAAGCAGTCTGGAAACACTGTTTTTGTACATTCTGCAAATGTACATTTAAGAGCTCATTGAGGCCTGTGGTGAAAACAAAATTATTGACAAATAAAAACTAAAAAGAAGCTTCTGAGAAACTGCTTTGTGATGTGGGCATTCATCTCACAGAGTTAAACCTTTCTTTTGATTCACGAGTCTAGAAACACGGTTTTTGTGCCTGCTGCAGACGGATATTTGTGAGCTCATTGAGGTGAATGGTGAAAAGGTGAATATCCCAAGATTAAAACTAGAAGGAAGATAACTGATAAAATACTTTGTGATGTGTGCATTCATCTCTCAATGTTTATTGTTATTATTATTATTATTATACTTTAAGTTTTAGGGTACATGTGCAAAACATGCAGGTTTGTTACATATGTATACATGTGCCATGTTGGTGTGCTGCACCCATTAACTCATCATTTAGCATTAGGTATATCTCCTAACGTTAAAACTTTCTTTTGATTCAGCAGTTTGGAAACGTTGTTGTAGAATCTATGAAAAACATTTGGGAGCCCATTGAGGCCTTTAGTGAAAAAGAAAATATCTTCACTTGAAACCTAGAAGGAAGCTTGCTGAGAAACTGCTTTGTGATGAGTGCATTCATCTCACAGAGGTAAACATTTCTTTTGATTAGCTCTTTGGAAACACTGTTTTTGGACCTTATGCAAATGGACTTTTGGGAGCTCATTGAGGCAAATGGTGAAAAAGTGAATATCCCAAGTTAAAACTAGAAGGAAAGTATCTGAGGAACCACTTTGTGATGTGTGCATCCTCTCACAGAGTTAAACCTCTCTTTTGATTCAACAATTTGAAAACACTGTTTTTGTAGAATCTGTGGAAGTACATTTGGGAGTGTATTGATGCCTATGGTGAAAAAGAAAATAACTTCAGATAAAAAATTGAAAGGAGCTTTCTGAGAAATTTCTTTGTTCTGTGCATTGATCTCACAGAGTTAAATGATTCTTTTGATTCAGCAGTTTGGAAACACTGTTTGTGTACATTCTGTGAACGGACATTTGAGAGCACATTGAGGCCTATTGTGAAAATGAAAACATCTTCAGATAAAAACTAGAAAGAAATTTTCTGAGATATGTCTTTATGATCTGAGCATTGATACACAATGTTAAACCCTTCTTTTGATTCAACAGTTTGGAAACACTGTTTTTGTACATTCTGTGAATGGACATTTCAGAGCCCATTGAGGCCAATGGCAAAAAAGGGAATATTCCAGGCTGAAAACTAGAAGGGAACTATCTGAGAAAATGCTTTGTGATGTATGCATTCATCTCCAAGTGTTAAACTTTTATTTTGATTCAACAGTTTGGAAATGCTGTTTTTGTAGGATCTGAGAAAGGATAGTTGGGAGAGCATTGAGGCCTATGGTGAAAAAGAAATTATCTTCAGACAAAAACTGGAAAGAAGCTTTCTGAAAAACTGCTTCATGATGTGTGAATTCATCTCACACAGTTAAACTTTTCCGTCCATTCAGTAGATTGGAAGCACTCTTTTTGTACATTCTGCAAATGGACATTTTGGAGCTCATTGAGGCCAGTGGTGAAAAGGTGAATATCCCAAGATAAAACATAGAAGGAAGCTATCTGAGAAACCGAATTTTGATGTGTGCATTCATCTTGCAGAGGTAAACCTTTCTTTTGATTCAGTGGTTTGGAAACAGTATATTTGTACATTCTGTGAATGGACATTTGGGAGCTTATTGAGGCCTAAGGTGAAAACGAAAACATCTTCTGATAAAAACTAGAAAGTTGTTTTTTGAGAAACTGCTTTGTGACGTGTGCATTCATCTCACAAAATTAAAACTTTCTTTTGATTCAGCAGTTTGGAAGCACTGTTTTTGTACATTCTGTAAGAGGAAATTTGGGAGCTCATTGAGGCCAATTGCAAAAAAGCTAATATCCCAGGATAAAAACTAGAGGGAAGCTATCTGAGAAACCACTTTGTGATGTGTGCATTCACTTTGAAGAGTTAAACCTTTCTTTTTATACAGCAGTTTGGAAAGAGTGTTTATGTAGAATCTGCAAAAGGCATTGAGAACCACTTGAGGCCTACAGAGAAAAAGAAAATATCTTCAGATAAAAACTAAAAGAAGCTTTCTGAGAAACTGCTTTGTGATGTGTGCATTCATCTCCAGACTTAAACCTTTCTCTTGTTTCAGCTGTTTGGAAACACTGCCTTTGTACGTTCTGCAAATGGATATTTCCGATCTCTTTGAGGCCTATGGTGAAAAAGAAAATATCTTCAGATAAAAATTAGAAAGAAGCTTTCTGAGTAACTGTTTTGTGATGTGTGTCTTCATCTCAAAGAGTTAAACCTTTCTTTTGATTCAGCAGTTTGGAAACACAGTTTTTGTAGAATCTTCAAAGGGAGACTTTAGAACTCATTAAGGCCTACTGCAAATAAGTGAATATCCCCAGATAAAAACTACAAGGAAGCACTCTCTGAAACTGCTCTGTGATGTGTGCATTCAACCTATCTTTTGATTCAGCGGTTTGGTAACGCTGTTGTTTTAGAATCTCCAAAGGAACATATGGGAGCTCATTGAGGCCAATGGTGAAAAAGCAAATATCCTAAGATTAAAACTAAAAAGAAGCTATCTCAGACACTGCTTTGGATGTGTGCATTCAATTTACACAGTTAAAGACTTCTTTTGATTTAGCATTCTGGAAACACTGTTTTGGAGAATCCTAGAAAGGACTTTAAGAGCGTATTGAGGCCTATGGTGAAAAAGCATACAACTTCCAATAAAAACTTGAAAGAAACAATCTGCGAAACTACTTTTTGATGTGTGTATTCATCTCACAGAGTTAAAGTTTCCTTTGGATTCAGCAGTTTGGAAATGCAGGTTTTGTAGGATCTGAGAAGGGACATTTTGAGGCGCTTTGAGGCCTAGGGTGAAAAAGCAAACATCCTAAGATAAAAACTAGAAAGGAGCTATCTGAGCAACTGCTTTGTGATGTGTGTATTCATCTCTCAGAGGTAAATCTTTCCTTTGATTCAGCAGTTTGGAAACACTGTTTTTTAAAAAACTGTGAAAAAAACATTTTGGAGCACATTGAGGCCTGTGGTGAAATATAGAATATCCCCAGATAAAAACTAGAAAGAAGCTTTCTGAGAAACTGCTTTGTGATGCTTGCATTGAACTTACAGAAGTCAAGCATTCTTTAGATTCAGCAGTTTGGAAACACTGTTTTTGCAGAATTTGTGAAGGGACATTTTGGAGCTCATTGAGGCCTACTGCAAAGAAGTGAATGTCCCCAGATAAAAACTAGAAAGAAATTCTCTTTGAAACAGCTCTCTGATATGTGGATTCATCTCACAGAGTTAAACCTATCTTTTGATTCTGCAGCTTAGTTTGGAAACACTGTTGTTTTAGAATCTGCAAAGGAATATTTGGGAGCTCACTTAGGCCAATAGTTAGAAAGTGAATATCCCAAGATGAAAACTAAAAAGAAGCTATTTAAGAAACTGCTTTCTGATGTGTGCATTCATCTTACCCAGTTAAAGGTTTCTTTTGATTCAGCAGTTTGGAAACACTGTTTTTGTAAAATTCTATAAAGGACATTAGAGAGCACATTGAGGCCTACGGTGAAAAAGCAAATAATATCTTCAGATAAAAACTTGGAAAAGCTACCTGAGAAATCTTTTTTTCTATTTATTTATTTTATTTATTTATGCTTTTGAGATGGAATTTTTTTTTTATTTTATTATTATTATACTTTAAGTTTTAGGGTACCTGTGCACAATGTACAGGTTAGTTACATATGTATACATGTGCCATGCTGGTGTGCTGCAACCCATTAACTCATCATTTAACATTAGGTATATCTCCTAAAGCTATCCGTACCCCCACCCCCCCCCGACAACAGTCCCCAGAGTGTGATGTTCCCCTTCCTGTGTCCATGTGTTCTTATTGTTCAAGTCCCACCTATGAGTGAGAATATGGGGTGTTTGGTTTTTTTGTCCTTGTGATAGTTTACTGAGAATGATGATTTCCAATTTCATTCATGTCCCTACAAAGGACCTGAATTCATCCTTTTTCAGGGCTGCAGAGTATTCCATGGTGTATATGTGCCACATTTTCTTAATCTAGTCTGTCATTGTTGGACATTTGGGTTGGTTCCAAGTCTTTGCTACTGTGAGTAGTGTCACAATAAACATACGTGTGCATGTGTCTTTATAACAGCTTGATTTATAGTCCTTTGGATATATACCCAGTAATGGGATGGCTGGATTAAATGGTATTTCTAGTTCTAGATCCCTGAGGAATCACCACACTGACTTCCACATGGTTGAACTAGTTTACTGTAACACCAACAGTGTAAAAGTGTTCCGATTTCTCCACATCCACTCCAGCACCTGTTGCTTCCTGACTTTTTAATGATTGCCATTCTAACTGGTATGAGTTGGTATCTCATTGTGGTTTTGATTTGTATTTCTCTGATGGCCAGTGACGGTGAGGATTTTTTCAAGTGTTTTTTGACTGCATAAATGTCTTCTTTTGAGAAGTGTCTGTTCATGTCCTTCACCCATTTTTTGATGGGGTTGTTTGTTTTTTTCTTGTAAATTTGTTTGAGTTCATTGTAGATTCTGGATATTAGCCCTTTGTCAGATGAGTAGGTTGTGAAAATTTTCTCCCATTTTGTAGGTTGCCTGTTCACTCTGATGGTAGTTTCTTTTGTTGTGCAGAAACTCTTGAGTTTAATGAGATCCTATTTGTCAATTTTGGCTTTTGTTGCCATTGCTTTTGGTGTTTTAGACATGAAGCCCTTGCCCATGCCCATGTCCTGAATGGTAATGCCTAGGTTTTCTTCTAGGGTTTTTATGGTTTTAGGTCCAATGTTTACGTATTCAATCCATCTTGAATTAATTTTTGTATAAGGTGTAAGGAAGGGATCCAATTTCAGCTTTCTACATATGGCTAGCCAGTTTTCCCAGCACCATTTATTAAATAGGGAATCCTTTCCCCATTGCTTGTTTTTTTCAGGTTTGTCAAAGATCAGATAGTTGTAGATATGTGGCATTATTTCTGAGGGCTCTGTTCTGTTCCATTGATCTATATTTCTGTTTTGGTACCAGTACCATGCTGTTTTAGTTACTGTAGCCTTGTAGTGTAGTTTGAAGTCAGGTAGCGTGATGTCTCCAGTTTTTTTCTTTTGGCTTAGGATTGACTTGGTGATGCGGGCTCTTTTTTTGGTTCCATATGAACTTTAAAGTAGTTTTTTCCAATTCTGTGAAGAAAGTCATTGGTAGCTTGATGGGGATGGCATTGAACCTCTAAATTACCTTGGGCAGTATAACCATTTTCACGATATTGACTCTTCCTACCCATGAGCATGGAATGTTCTTCCATTTGTTTGTATCCTCTTTTATTTCCTTGAGCAGTGGTTTGTAGTTCTCCTTGAAGAGGTCCTTCACCTCCCTTGTAAGTTGGATTCCTAGGTATTTTATTGTCTTTGAAGCAATTGTGAATGGGAGTTCACTCATGATTTGGCTGTCTGTTTGTCTGTTGTTGGTGTATGAGAATGCTTGTGATTTTTGTACATTGATTTTGTATCCTGAGACTTTGCTGAAATTGCTTATCAGCTTAAGGAGATTTTGGGCTGAGACAATGGGGTTTTCTAGATATACAATCACGTCATCTGCAAACGGGGACAATTTGACTTCCTCTTTTCCTAATTGAATACCTTTTATTTCCTTCTCCTGACTAATTGCCCTGGCCAGAACTTCCAACACTATGTTGAATAGGAGTGGTGAGAGAGGGAATCCCTCTCTTGTGCCAGTTTTCAAAGGGAATGCTTCCAGTTTTTGCCCATTCAGTATGATATTGGCTGTGGGTTTGTCATAGACAGCTCTTATTATTTTGAGATACGTCCCATCAATTACTAACTTATTGAGAGTTTTTAGCATGAAACCTTGTTGAATTTTGTCGAAGACCTTTTCTGCATCTATTGAGATAATCATGTGGTTTTTGTCTTTGGTTCTGCTTATATGCTGGATTACATTTATTGATTTGTGTACATTGAACCAGGCTTGCATCCCAGGGATGAAGCCCAGTTGATCATGGTGGATAAGCTTTTCGATGTGCTGTGGGATTTGGTTTGCCAGTAATTTATAGAGGATTTTTGTATCAATGTTCATCAAGGATATTGGTCTAAAATTCTCTTTTTTGGTTGTGTCTCTGCCCAGCTTTAGTATGAGGATTATGCTGTCCTCATAAAATGAGTTAGGGAGGATTCCCTCTTTTTCTATTGATTGGAATAGTTTCAGAAGGAATGGTACCAGCTCCTCCTTGCACCTCTGGTAGAATTCGGCTGTGAATCCATCTGGTCCTGGACTCTTTTTAGTTGGTAAGCTATTGATTGTTGCCACAATTTCAGAGGCTGTTATTGGTCTATTCAGAGATTCAACTCCTTCCTGGTTTAATCTTGGGAGGGTGTATGTGTCGAGGAATTTATCCATTTCTTCTAGATTTTCTATTTTATTCACATAGAGGTGTTTATAGTATTCTCTGATGGTAGTTTGTATTTCTGTGGGATCGGTGGTGATATCTCCCTTATCATATTTTATTGCATCTATTTGAGTCTTTTCTCTTTTCTTCTTTATTAGTCTTGCTAGCAGTCTATCAATTTTGTTGATCCTTTCAAAAAACCAGCTCCTGGATTCATTAATTTTTTGAAGGGTTTTTGTGTCTCTATTTCCTTCAGTTCTGCTCTGATTTTAGTTATTTCTTGCCTTCTGCTAGCTTTTGAATGTGTTTGCTCTTGTTTTCTAGTTCTTTTAATTGTGATGTTAGGGTGTCAATTTTGGATCTTTCCTGCTTTCTCTTGTGGGCATTCAGTGCTATAAATTTCCCTCTGCACACTGCCTTGAATGTGTCCCAGAGATACTGGTATGTTGTGTCTTTGTTCTCATTGGTTTCAAAGAACGTCTTTATTAGTCATTCAGGAGTAGGTTGTTTCTTAATCCTGAGTTCTAGTTTGATTGCAGTGTGGTCTGATAGATAGTTTGTTATAATTTCTGTTCTTTTACATTTGCTGAGGAGTGCTTTACTTCCAAGTATGTGGTCAATTTTGGAATAGGTGTGGTGTGGTGCTGAAAAAAATGTATATTCCGTTGATTTGGGGTGGAGAGTTCTGTAGATGTCTGTTAGGTCTGCTTAGTGCAGAGCTGAGTTCAATTCCTGGGTATCCTTGTTAACTTTCTGTCTCATTGATCTGTCTAATGTTGACAATGGGGTATTAAAGTCTCCCATTATTATTGTGTGGGAGTCTAAGTCTCTTTGTAGGTCACTCAGGACTTGCTTTATGAATCTGGGTGCTCCTGTATTGGGTGCATATATATTTAGGATAGTTGATTTTCTTGTTGAATTTCTCCCTTTACCATTAAGTAATGGCTTTCTTTGTCTCTTTCGATCTTTGCTGGCTTAAAGTCTGTTTTATCAGAGACTAGGATTGCAACCCCTGCCTTTTTTTGCTTTCCATTTGCTTGGTAGATCTTCCTCCATCCTTTTATTTTGAGCCTAAGTGTGTCTCTGCATGTGAGATGGGTTTCCTGAATACAGCACAAAAATAGATAAAACCACAAAGATGGGGAAAACAGAGCAGAAAAACTGGAAACTCCAAAAAGCAGAGGGCCTCTCCTCCTCCAAAGGAATGCAGTTCCTTACCAGCAATGGAACAAAGCTGGATGGAGAATGACTTCGATGAGTTGAGACAAGAAGCTTTCAGATGGTCAAACTACTCTGAGCTACAGGAGGAAATTCAAACCAAAGGCAAAGAAGTTAAAAACTTTGAAAAAAATTTAGACAAATGTATAACTACAATAACCAATACAGAGAAGTGCCTAAAAGAGCTTATGGAGCTGAAAGCCAAGGCTTGAGAACTACGTGAAGAATGCAGGAGCCTCAGGAGCCAATGCAATCAACTGGAAGTAAGGGTATCAGTGATGGAAGATGAAATGAATGAAATGAAGCGAGAAGAGAAGTTTAGAGAAAAAAGAATACAAAGAAATGAACAAAGCCTCCAAGAAATATGGGACTATGTGAAAAGACCAAATCTACGTCTGATTGGTGTACCTGAAAGTGACCGGGAGAATGGAACCAAGGTTGAAAACACTCTGCAGGATATTATCCAGGAGAACTTCCCCAATCTAGCAAGGTAGCCAACATTCAGATTCAGGAAAAACAGATAACACCACAAAGATACTCCTCGAGAGGAGCAACTCCAAGATACATAATTGTCAGATTCACCAAAGTTGAAATGAAGAAAAAAATGTTAAGGGCAGCCAGAGAGAAAGGTCGGGTTACCCTCAAAGGGAAGCCCATCAGACTAACAGCGGATCTCTCGGCAGAATCTCTACAAGCCAGAAGAGAGTGGGGGCCAATATTCAACATTCTTAAAGAAAAGAATTTTCAACCCAGAATTTAATATCCAGCCAAACTAAGCTTCATAAGTGAAGGAGAAATAAAATACTTTACAGACAAGCAAATGCTGAGAGATTTTGTCACCACCAGGCCTGCCCTAAAAGAGCTCCTGAAGGAAGCTCTAGACATAGAAAGGAACAACCGGTACCAGCCACTGCAAAATCATGCCAAATTGTAAGGACCATCGAGGCTAGGAAGAAACTGCGTCAACTAACGAGCAAAATAACCAGCTAACATCATAATGACAGGATCAAATTCACACATAACAATATTAACTTTAAATGTAAATGGACTAAATACTCCAATTAAAAGACACAGACTGGCAAATTGGATAAAGAGAATCTGCTTTTTGATATGTCGATTCATCTCACATAGGTAAACGTTTCTCTTGATTCAGTAGGTTGAAAACACGCTGATTGGAGAATCTCTGACGGGACACGTGGAAGCCCATTGAGGCCAAAGGAGTAAAGCCAAATATCCCCCATATAAAAACTAGAAAGAATCTACCTGTGAAACTGCTTTGTGATGTGTGAATTCATCTTACAGAGTTTAAAATTTCTTTTGATTCTGTGGGTTGGCAACACTCTTTTTGTAGAATATGAAATGGGACATTTTGGAGATCATTAAGGAGAGTGGAGAAAATGGAATATTCACATATAAAAGCTAGAAACATATTTCCAAAAACTCCTTTGTGATGTGTGGATTCATCTCACAGAGTTAAACCTTCCTGATGATTCGGCAGATTGGAAAACCACTTTTTGGAGGCTCTGTGAAGGGACGTTTTAGAGCCCATTGGGGTCTAAGAAAGTTACTGTGAAGGTGCTTTATGATTGCTGGATACATATCAGAGAGTTAAACTGTTGTATTTATTCAACAGTTTGGAAACATTCTGTTTGTAGAATCTGTGAAGGGAAATTTGGGCACTGAAATAGGCCTATGGGGAAATACTGAATATCTCCAGATAAAAACTAGAAATTAGGTATCTGTGAAACTGCTTTGTGATGTGTGGATTCTTCTCACACTGCAAATTTTTGTGCTGATTCAGCAGGCTGGAAACACTCCTTTTGTGGAATCTGCAAAGGGATATTTGGGAGCCCATTGGGGCCTATGGGGAGAAACTGAATAATCCTAGGTAAAAACTACAAAGAAACTATCTGTGAAACAGCATTGCGATGTGTGGATTGATCTCAGATATAAATATTTCTTTTCTTTCATCAGCCTCTAAACACTCTTTTTGGAGAATCTGCTAAGGGACAATTGGATGCCCATTGGGGCTTAAGGGGAAAAATGGATTATCCCCAGATAAATACTAGAAAGAAGCTATCTGTTAAACTGCTTGTTGATGTGTGGATTCAACTCACTGACTTAAACCTTTCTTTTATTCAGCATTGAAAACACTCTTTTTGGAGAATCTGCAAAGGGAAACTTGTGAAACCTTTGAGGACTGTGGGAAATAACAGAATATCCCTATATTGAAACTAGAAAGAATTAATCTCTGAAACAGCTTTGTGATGTGTGGATTCATCTCACAGAGGTAAAACTTTCTTTTGATTCATCAGATTGTAAACAATCATTTTGGAGAATCTGTGAAGAAACATTTGGGAGCCCACTGAGGCTTTTGGGGAAACACCAAATTTTCCCAGATAGAAACTAGAATGAAGCTATCTGTGAAACTGATTTGTAATATATGGATTCATCTCACAGTGTGAAACTTTTCTTCTTATTCAAAAGGTTTTAAACAATCTTTTTGTAGAATTTGTGAAGGGATATTTGGGAGCCCATTGAGGCTGATAAGAAAAAAAGAAGTATCCACAGATAATAGGAAGAAAGATGCTACCTCCAAAACTGCTTTGTGATATTTGGATTCAGCTCTTGATTTAAAGTTTTCTTGTGAAACATCAGGTTGGAAACACTCTTTTGGGAGAATCTGCAAAGGGATATTTGAGAGTCCTTTGAGGTCTATGGAGAAAAACCGAACATCCACAAATAAAAACTACAAAGAAGTTATGTGTGAAAATGCTTTGTGATGTGTGGATTCATCTCATGAAGTTAAACTTTTCTTTAGATACAGCAGTTTGGAAACACTCTTTTGGTAGAAACTGCGAACAGACATTTGGGAGAGCATTGAGGGCTATGGGGACAAATGGAATATCCCCAGATAAAAATTAGGAAGAAGCTATCTGTGAAACTCCTTTGTGATGTGTGGATTCATCTCACAGACTTAAAACTTTCTTTCCTTTGAGCAGGTTGGAAACACTCTTTTTTTAGAATCTGCAAAGGAACATTTGGTATCCCATAGAGTTTATGGGGAAAAACAGAATATCTCAAGATAAAAACAAGAAAGAATCTATCTGTAAAACAGCTTTGTGATGCTGGACTCATCTCACAGTGTTAAAGCTTTCATTTGATTCAGCAGGTTGGTAATACTCTTTTTGGATATTCTGTGAAGGGACATTTGGGAGCCCATTGAGGCCTATGGGAAAAAACAGAATATCCCCAGAAAAAAAAAAAAAACTATAAAGAAGCTTTCTGTGAAACAGCTTTGTGGTGTGTGAATTCATCTCACAGAGTTAAACCTTGCTGTTGATTCAGCAGATTGGAACCACACATTTTGGAGTCTCAGCAAAGGCACGTTTCAGAACCCATTGAGGCCTAAGAAAGAAAACTGAATATCCCTAGATATAAACTAGAAAGAAGCTAGCTGTGAAACTACTTTGTGATGTGTGGATTCATCTCACAGAATTTGGAAACTCTCTTTTTGTAGAATCTGTGAAGGGACATTTCACAGGCCATTGAGGCCTATGGGGAAAAAGACAATATCCCCAAATAAAAACTAGAAAGGAGCTATTTGTGAAACTACTTTGTGACCTGTAGATTCCTCTAACAGAGGTGAACATTTTTTTTTTTTATTCAGCAGTTTGTAAACTTTCTTTTTGGGGAATCTGTGTAAGGACATTTGGTAGCTCATTCTTGCCTAAGGGAAAAAACCGAATATCCCCAGACAAAAACTAAAAAAAAGTTATCTGTGAAACTGCTATGTGATGTGTGGATTCATCTCACAGAGTTATAATTTTCTTTGATTCAGAAGGTTGGAAACGCTGCTTTTGTAGAATCTGAGAAAAGACATTTGGGAGCCTAATAAGGCCTATAAGTAAAAATCAAATATCCTCAGATTAAAAACTAGGAAGAAGCTATCTGTTAAACTGCTTTGTGTTGTGTGGATTCATCTCACAGAGATAAACCTTTCTTTGATCCAGTAGGTTGGAAACACTCTTTTTGGATAAACTGAGAAGGGGCATTTGGGAACACATTAAGGACTATGGAGAAAAACCATGTATCTCCTGATAAAAAACCAGAAAGAAGCTATCTGTGAAACTGCTTTGTGATGTGTAAATTCATCTCAGAGTTAAACCTTTCTTTTGTTTCAGCAGGTTGGAACACTCTATTTACAGAATCTGCAAGGTGACATTTAGGACACCATTGAGGCCTATGGGGAAAAACTTAATATCCCAAGATAAAAACAAGAAAGAAGCTATGTGTGAAATGGCTTTGTGACATGTGGATTAAAGAATTAATCACAAAGAATTAAAACTTTCTTTTGATTCAGCAGGTTGGAAAGACTCTAACTGGAGAATCTGCAAAGGAGTATTTGGAAGCCCACTGAGGCCTAAGGGGAAAAACCAAAAATCCCCAGAAAAAAAAAAAACAGAAAGAGGCTATCTGAGAAACTGCTTTCTGATATGTGGATTAGCCTCAGAGAGTAAAAGTTTTCTTTTGATTCAGCAGGTTGGAAACACTCTTTTTGTACAAATTGTGAAAGGACATTTGGGAGCCCTTTGAGGCCTATGGAGAAAAACCAAATAATCCCATATAAACACTAAAAATAATCTTTCTGTTAAAATGCTTTGTGATGTGTGGATTTATCTCACAGAGTAAACCTTTATTTGTTTCAGCAGGTTGCAAATATTCTCTTTGGATAATCTGTAAAGGAAAATTTGTGAGCCAATTGAGGCCTATGTGGAAAAAGTGAATATTCCTAGATAAAGACTAAAAAGAATCTGTATTTGAAACTGCTTTGTGATCTATGCACTCATCTCACAGAGTTAAGCATTTTTTTTTTGGTTCAGCAGGTTGAAAATATGTTTTTTGTAGCATCTGCAAAGGGACATTTGGGAACCCATTGAGGCCTTTGAGGAAGGACCACATATCCTCAAATAAAAACTAGAAAGAAGCTATCTGTGAAACCCCTTTGTGATGTATGAATTCATCTCACAGAATTAAACCTTTTTTTTGATTCAGCAGTTTGGAAACGCTCTTTTTGGAGAATCTGCAAAAGGACATTTGGGAGCCCTGTGGCCTATGGGGCAAACTGTATATCCCAAGATAAAAAGCAGAAAGAAGCTATCTGTTAAAGACCTTTGTGATAGGTGGATTTATCTCACAGAGTTATAACTTTCTTTTGATTCAGCAAGTTGGAAACTCTTTTTGTAGAATTTGTGAAGGGACAGTTCCCAGGCCATCAAGGCCTATGGGGAAAAACAGATTATCCTCAAATGAAAAGTAGTATGAAGCTATCGGTGAAATTGCTTTGTGGTGTGGATTCATCTCACAGAGTTAAAACTTTCTTTTGATTCAGCAGCTTAGAAACACTCTTTTTGGATAATCTGCAAAAGGACATTTGAAAGCCTTGTAGCCTCTGGGGCAAAACCATATATTCCAAGATAAAAACCAGAAAGAAGCTATCTGTGAAACTGCTTTTTGATATGTGCATTTATCTCACTGAGTTAAAATTTCTTTTGATTCAGGAGGTTGGAAACACTGTTTTTGGAGAATCTGCATAAGGACATTTAGGATCCTATGGAGGCCTATGGGAAAAACCAAATATCTTCAGATAAAAACTAGAAAGAAGCTAGCTGTGAAAATTCTCTGGGATGTGTAAAATCATCCCATAGATGAAAACCTTTCTTCTGATTCAGTAAGTTGAAAATACTCTTTTTAAATAATCCATGAAAAGACATTTGGGGGTCCTGTGAGTCCTCTGGATAAAACCTGAATATCCCCAGATAAAAAGTAGAAAGAAAGTATATGTGAAACCTCTTCATGATGTGTGGATTGATTTCACAAATTTAAATTTTTCTTTTAATCTAGGAAGTTGGAAACAATCTTTTTGTGGAATCTGCAAAGGGACATTTGGGAGCCCATTGAAGCCTATGGGGAAAAACAAAATATCCTAATATAGAAACTAGAAAAAAGCTTCCTTTGAAACCCTTTGTGATGTGTGAATTCATCTCACAAAGCTAATCCTGTCTGTTGATTCAGCAGATGGGAAATACCCTTTTTGGAGTATCTGGGAAGGGACATTTTTTAGTCCATTGACATCTATGGGGAAAATAATATAACCAAGATAAAAACTAGAAAGAATCCATCTTTGAAATTGCTTTGTGATGTGCAGGTTCATTTCACAGAGTTTAGCCATTCTTTTGATTCAGCATGTGGGAAACACTCTTTTTGTAGAATCTGTGAAGGATCTTTTGGGAGTTTATAGAGGCCTATGGGGAGAAACAAAATATCTTGAGATAAAAATTAGAAACAAGTTATCTGTGAAATTGCTTTTTGATGTGTGGATTCATCTCACAGTGTTAAACCTTTTATTTGACCCAGCAGGTTGGAAACACTTTTGTCGAATCTGCAAAGTGACCTTTTGTAGCTGTTTGTGGCCTATGGGGAAAAACAGAATATCCCCATATAAAAACTAGAAAGAAGCTACCTGTGAATCAGCTTTGTAACGTTTGGATTCATATCACAGAGTTAAACATTTCTTTTGATTCAGCTGGTTGGAAACACTCTTTTTGGAGAACCTGGGAAGGGACATTTGGAAGCCCATTGAGGCTTATGTGGAAAAACTGAACATATACAGAGAAAAAGTAGAAAGAAGTTATCCATGAAACTTCTTTGTGATATGTGGATTCATCTCAGAGAGTTAAATCTTTCGTTTGATTTAACATATTGGAAACAGTCCTTTTGGAGACTCTGAGAAGGGACATTTTTGAGCCCATTGAAGCCTATGGGGAAAAATTGAATATCTTTGTATAAAAACTAGAAAGAAGCAATCTGTGAAACTGATTTGTGATGTGTGGATTCATCTCACAGTGGTAAAGCTTTCGTTTGCCTCAGCAAATTGGAAGCACTCCTTTTGGAGACTCTGCAAAAGGAGATTTGTGAGCCCTTTGAAGCCCATGGGGAAAAATTGAATATCCCCACATAAAAATTAGAAAGAAGCTATCTATGAAAATGTTTTGTAATGTGAGATTCATCTCACAGAGTTAAACATTTCTTTTGATTCAACAATTTGTAAACACTATTTTTGTGGAATCTGTGAAGGTACATTTTGGAGCCCATTGAGGCCTATAGGGAAAAACCAAATATCTGCAGATTAAAAACTAGAAAGAAGCTCTCTGTGAAACTGCTTTGCATTGTGTGGATTCATCCAACAGAGTTAAACGTTTCTTTTGATCTAGCAGGTTGAAAACACTCTTTTCATAGAATCTGCAAATAAACATTTGAGAGCCCATTGATGGCTATTGGGAAAACACCAACATCCCAAGATAAAAACTAGAAAGAAGCTATCTATGAAACTGCTTTGTGATGTGTGGGTGCATCTCACAGAGTTAAGCCTTTCTTTTTATTCAGCAAGTTGGAAAAACTATTTTTGAAGAATCTGAAAAGGGACATTTGGGAGTCTATTGAGGCCTATGGGGTAAAACAAAATATCTACAGAGAAAACAAGAAAGAAGCTATCTGTGAAAATACTTTGTGATGTGTGGTTTCACCTCACAGACTTAAACCTTTCATTTCTTTCAGCAGGCTGGAAACACTCTTTTTGGAGTATCTGTGAAGGGACATTTTGTAATGTATTGTGGCCTATGAGTAAAACAGAATAACCCCATATAAAAACCAGACAAAAGCTATCTGTGAAACTCCTTTATGATGTGGATTCACCTCACAGAGTTAAATTTTTCCTTTGCATATGTAGGTTGGAAACTCTCATTTTGGAGAATATGTGAAGGGACGTTTGGAAGTCCTTTGCAGTCTATGGAAAAAACACAATATTCCCACATACAAACTAGAAAAAAATCTATCTGTGAAACTGCTTTGTGATAGATGGATTCATCTCACAGAGTTAAAATTTTCTTTTGATTCAGAAGGTGGGAAACATTTCTTTTGGAGAATCTGTGGAGGGACATTTCAGTGCCCATTGAGGTCTCTGGGGAAAAACTGAATATCCCCAGATTAAAAACTAGAAATAAGCATCTGTGAAACTACTTTGTGATGTGTGGATTCATCTCAAAGAGTTAAGCCATTCTGTTGATACATCAGGTTGGAAACACTCTTTTTGTAGAATCTGCAAAGGGATATTTTGGAGCCCTTTGTGTCCTATGGGGAACAATTGAACATCCCCAGATAAAAACGAGAAAAAAGTTGTCTATGAAACTTCTTTGTGATGTGTGGATTAATCTCAGAGAGTTAAACCTTTCTTTTGATTCGGAAGGTTGGAAATACTCTTCTTTTTGCAGAATCTGTGATGGGACATTTGGGAGCCCATTGAGGCCTATGGGAAAAAAACAAATATCCCGAGACAAAAACTGGAAACATCTCCCTGTGAAACAGCTTTGTGATGTGTGGATTCATATCACCATGAAACTTTCTCTTGTCCCAGCAGGTGGGAAGCACTCTCTTTAGAGAATCTGTGAAGGCACATTTCGGAGCCTTTTGAGGCCTATTAGGAAAAACCAAATAACCCCAGGTAAAAACGAGAAAGAAGTTATTTGTGAAACTGCTTTGTGATGTGTAGATTCATCTCACAGAGTTAAACCTTTGTTTTTATTCAACAGGTTTTAAACACTCTTTCTATAGAATCTGTGAAGGGATATTTGGGAGCCTATTGAACCCTATTGGAAAAAAAACAAATATCCACAGATAAAAACTAAAAATAAGCTATCTGTGAAACTACTTTGTGATGTGTGGATTCATCTCACAGAGTTAAAACTTTCTTATGATTCAGCAGGTTAGAAACACTCTAATTGTTGAATGTCCGAAAGGACATTTTGGAGCCCATTGTGGCCAATGTGTAAAACGAGAATATCCCCAGGTAAAAACTAGAAAGAAGCTATCTGTGAAAATGTTTTGTGATGTGTGGTTTCATCTCATAGAGTTATACCTTTCTTTTTATTCAGCAGGTTGGGAACAGTCTTTTTGTATAATCTTCAAAGGGACATTTAGGACCCCATTGAAGCCTATGGGGAAAAACCAAATATCCCTAGATAAAAACCAGAAAGCAGCATTCTGTGAAACTGCTTTGTTATGTGTGAACTTGTATTACAGAGTTAAATCTTTCTTTTGATTCAGCAGTTTGGAAACATTCTTTTTGGAGATTTTGTGAAGGGAAATTTGGAATACTATTGAGACCTATTGGGAAAACTGAATATACCCAGATAAAAAGTAGAAAAAAGCTATCTGTTAAACTGTGTTGTAATGTGTGGATGGATCACACAGAGTTAAACATTTCTTTTGTTACAGCAGATTGAAAATAATCTTTTGGAGGACTTGAAAAGGCACCTCTTGGAGCACATTGAGGTCTATTTGGTAAAGCCGAATATCTTCAGATAAAAACTAGAAAGAAGCTATCTGTGAAACTGTTTTGTGATGTGTGGATTCGTCTCACAAACTTAAACCTTTCTGTTGATTCAGCAGGTTAAAAACACTCTTTTTGGAGTATCTGTGAAGAAACATTTGGGAACTCAATGAGGAGTATGGATAAAAGCCAAATATCCCCAGATAAAAACTAGAAGAAGCTGTCTGTGAAACTGCTTTGTGATGTGTGGATTCATCTCACAGTGTTTCACCTTTCTTTTGATTAAGCAGGTTAAAAACACTCTTTTTGTAGAATCTGTGAAGACATATTTGGGAGCTCTTTGAGGCCTATGAAGAAAAACAGAATATACCCAGATAAAAACTAGAAAGAAGCTAACTGTGAAACTACTTTGTGATGTGTGGATGCATCTCTCAAAGTGAAACCTCTTTTGATTCAGCAGGTTGAAAAAACTTTTTTTTGGAGAATCTGTGGAGGAATATTTGGCAGCCCTTTGAGGCCCATGGGTTGAAACCATATATCCCCACCTAAAAACTAGAAAGACACTATCTGTGAAAATACTTTGTGATGTGTGGATTCCTCTCACAGAGTTAAAACTTTCTTTGGATTCTGCAGATTCAAAACACTCTTTTTCTAGAATCTACTAAGGGATATTTGGGAGACATTTGAGGACTATGAAGAAAAAACAAATATCCCCAGATAAAAACTAGAAGGAAAATATCTGTGAAACTGCTTCATGATGTGTAAATTCATCTCATAGAGTTCAAACTTTCTTTTGATTTAGTAGGTTGGAAACACACTAGTTGTTGAATCTGCAAAGGGACATTTGGGAGCCCTTTGAGGCCTATGGGTAAAAAGCGAATATCCCCAGATAACAACCTAGAAAATAAACTATCTGTGAAACTGCTTTGTGATGTGTGGATAAATCTCATAACATTAAATCATTCTTTTGATCCAGAAGATTGGAAGCACACTTTTTGTAGAATCTTGGAAGGTACATTTAAGAGCCCATGGAGGCCTATTGGTAAAAACGTAATGTCCCAAGATAAAAACTAGAAAGAAGTTATCCATGAAACTGCTTTGTGTTGAGTGGATTCATGAAAGGTTAAACTTTCATTTAATTCATCAGGTTGGAAACACTCTTTTTGGAGACTCTGCAAAGGGACTTTTAAGTGCCCTTTTACAATATAGGGAAAGACCAAATATAACCAGATAAAAACAAGAAAGAAGCTACCTGGGAAACTGCACTGTGATACATAGATTCATCTCACAGAGTTAAATTTTTCTTTTGATTCAGCAGGTTGGAAACACTGTTTTTGGAGGATCAGCAAAGAGGCATTTATGATCCGTTTGAGGACTATGGCGAAAAACCAAATATTCCCAGATAAAAACTGGAAAGAAGCTCTCTGTGAAACTACATTTTGACGTATAGACTCATGTGACAGAATTCAAGTTTTCCTTTGGTTCAGCTGTTTGGAAACACTCTTTATGCAGAACATCGAAGGGACATTTGGGAGCCCATTGAGGTCTATGGGGAAAAAATTAATATTGCCAGAAAAAAATAGAAATAAGCTATCTGTGAAACTGCTTTGTAAAGTGGATTCATCTCACAGAGATAAACATTTCATTTAATTCAGCAGGATGGAAACACTCTTTTTGGAGAATCTGTGAAGGGACATCTGAAATCTCAGTGAAGCCTACGGGGAAACCTGAATATCCGAAGATGAAAACTAGAAAAAAGGGCCAGGCGTGGAGGCTCATGCCTGTAATCCCAGCACTTTGGGAGGCTGAGGCTGGCTGATCACGAGGTCAGGAGAGAGACCATCCTGGCTAACAGTGAAACCCAGTCTCTACTAAAACTGCAAAAAATTAGCTGGGTGTAGTGGCAGGAGCCTGTAGTCCCAAGTACTCAGGAGGCTGAGACAGGAGAATGGCATGAACCCAGGAGGTAAAGCTTGCAGGGAGCTCAGATTGCACCATTGCACTCCAGCCTGGGTAACACAGTGAGACTCCATCAAAAAAAAAAAAAAAAAAACAACTAGAAATAAGCTATCTGTGAAACAGCTTTGTGATGGCTGGATTTATCTCACAGAGTTAAACCCTCTTTTGATTCCACAGGTTGGAAACACTCTTTTTGGAGAATCTGTGAAGCAACGTTTGGGAGCCCATTGTGACCTAACAGGGAAGACTGAATATCCGAAGATAAAAACTACAAGAAAGCTGTCTGTGAAACTGCTTTGTATCTGTATATTCATCTCACAGAGTTAAACCATTCTTTTGATTCCTCAGTTTAGAAACACTGTTTTAGGAGAATCTGCAAAAAGACATTTGTGAGCCCATTGAAGAATATGGGGAAAAACAGAATATCCCCAGAAAAATACTGGAAAGAAGCTATCTGTGAAACTGCTTTGTCTTGTGTGCATTCATCTTACAGAGTTACATTTTTTTTTTTTTTTATTTAGCAGGTAAGAAACACTCTTTTTTGAGAATATCTGAAGGGATGTTTGGGAAGCCATTAAGGCCTATGGGGAAAAATTGAATATTCCCAGATAAAAACTGGAAGGAAACTATCTGAGAAACTGCTTTGTAATGTGTGGCTATCACACATAATTGAATTTTTCTTTTGATTCAGCAGGTTGGAAACACTCTAATTGTACAATCTGTGAAAAGATATTTGGGAGCTCATTGAAGCCTATGGAGAAACACAAAATATCCTCAGACAAAAACTAGAAAGAAGCTATGTGTGAAACTGCTTTGTGATGTGTGTATTCATCGCACCAATTTAAAACTTTCTCTAGATTCAGCAGTTTGGAAACACTTTTTTTTTGGAGAATCTGTGAAGAAACATTGGGAGTCCATTGAGGCTTATGCGGAAACACCAAAGATTGCCAGATAGAAACTAGAATGAAGTTATCTGTGAAATTGATTTGTGATATGTGGATTCATCTCATGGTGTGAAAGTTTTCTTCTTATTCAAAAGGTTGTAAACAATCTTTTTGGAGAATATGTGAAGGAACATTTGGGAGCTCATTGAGGCCTATAAGCAAAATACAAATATCCACAGATATAAAAAAGAAAGAAGCTACCTCTGAAACTGCTTTGTGATGTGTAGATTCAGCTCTCAGAGTTAAACCTTTCTTTTCATGCAGCAGGTTGGAAACACTTTTCTATTTTCTTATTATAATACTTTAAATTTTAGGGTACATGTGCACTATGTGCAGGTTAGTTACATATGTATACATGTGCCATGCTGGTGTGCTGCACCCATTAACTCGTCATTTAGCATTAGGTATATCTCCTCATGCTATCCCTCCCCCCTCCCCCCACCCCACAACAGTCCCCAGAGTGTGATGTTCCCCTTCCTGTGTCCATGTGTTCTCATTGTTCAATTCCCACCTATGAGTGAGAATATGCGGTGTTTGATTTTTTTGTCCTTGCGATAGTTTACTGAGAATGATGATTTCCAATTTCATCCTTGTCCCTACAAAGGACATGAACTCATCATTTTTTATGGCTGCATAGTATTCCATGGTGTGTACGTGCCACATTTTCTTAATCCAGTCTATCATTGTTGGACATTTGGGTTGGTTCCAAGTCTTTGCTATTGTGAATAGTGTGGCAATAAACATACGTGTGCATGTGTCTTTATAGCAGCATGATTTATAGTCCTTTGGGTATATACCCAGTAATGGGATGGCTGGGTCAAATGATATTTCTAGTTCTAGATCCCTGAGGAATCGCCACACTGACTTCCACAGTGGGTGAACATAGTTTACAGTCCCACCAACAGTGTAAAAGTGTTCCTATTTCTCCACATCCTCTCCAGCACCTATTGTTCCCGGACTTTTTAATGATTGCCCTTCTAACTGGTGTGAGATGGTATCTCATTGTGGTTTTGATTTGCATTTCTCTGATGGCCAATGATGGTGAGCATTTTTTCAAGTGTTTTCTGGCTGCATAAATGTCCTCTTTTGAGAAGTGTCTGTTCATGTCATTCGCCCACTTTTTGATGGGGTTGTTTTTTTTTCTTGTAAATCTGTTTGAGTTCATTGTAGATTCTGGTTATTAGCCCTTTGTCAGATGAGTAGGTTGTGAAAATTTTCTGCCATCCCCATCAAGCTACCAATGACTTTCTTCACAGAATTGGAAAAAACTACTTTAAAGTTCATATGGAACCAAAAAAGAGCATGCATCACCAAGTCCATCCTAAGCCAAAAGAACAAAGCCGGAGGCATCACGCTACCTGACTTCAAACTATACTACAAGGCTACAGTAACCAAAACAGCATGTTATTGGTACCAAAACAGAGATATGGATCAATGGAACAGAACAGAGCCCTCAGAAATAATGCCACATATCTACAACTATCTGATCTTTGACAAACCTGAGAAAAACAAGCAATGGGGAAAGGATTCCCTATGTAATAAATGGTGCTGGGAAAACTGGTTAGCCATATGTAGAAAGCTGGAATGGGATCCCTTCCTTCCACCTTATACAAAAATTAATTCAAGATGGATTAAAGACTTAAACGTTAAACCTAAAACCATAAAAACCCTAGAAGAAAACCTAGGCAATACCATTCAGGACATAGGCATTGGCAAGGACTTCATGTCTAAAACAACAAAAGCAATGGCAACAAAAGCCAAAATTGACAAATGGGTTCTAATTAAACTAAAGAGCTTCTGCACAGCAAAAGAAACTACCACCAGAGTGAACAGGCAACCTACAAAATGGAAACACACTTTTTGGAGAATCTGTGAAGGGACATTTGAGAGCCTTTTGGGGCCTATGGCGAAAAATCAAATATCCTCAGATAAAAACTAGAAGGAAGCCATCTCTGAAACTGCTTTGTGATGTGTGTATTCATCTCAGAGAGTTAAAATTTTCTTTTGATTCAGCACGTTAGAAACACTCTTTTTGAAGGATCTGTGAAGGGACATTTGGGAGCCTATTGAGGCCTATGGAGAAAAATAAAATATCCTCAGGAAAAAAACTATAACGTAGTTATCTGTGAAACAGCTTTGTGATGTGTATATTCATCTCACAGAGTTAAAACTGTCTTTTGATTCAGCAGGGTGGAAACACTCTTTTTGGAGAATCTGGGAATGGATTTTTGGTAGTCATTTAAGGCCTATGGGGAAAAGCTGAATATCCCCAGATAAAAATTAAAAACAAGCTATCTGTGAAACTGATTTGTGATGTGTGGATTCATCTTACATGGTTAAACCTTTCTTTTGATTCAGCAAGTTGAAAAGACTGTTTTTGGAGAATGTGCAAAAAGAAATTTGGGAGCCCATTGTGGCCTATGGGGAAAAAGCCAATATGCCCAGGAAAAAAAAAAAACTACAAAGAAGCTACTTGTGAAACTGCTTTATGATTTTTGGATTTATCTGAGATTTAAACCTTTCTTTTAATCAGCAGGTTGGCAACATTCTTTTTAAAGATTCTGTCAATGGACATTTAGGAGGCCTTTGAGGCTTATGGCGAAAAACCCAACATCCTCAGGTAAAAACTACAAGGAAGCTATCTGTGAAACTGCTTTTAATGTGTGGATTAAGCTAACGGAGTTAAAACTTTTCTTTTATTCAGCAGGTTGGAAACACTGTTTTTGGAGAATCTGCAAAGGGATATTTGGGAGAACATTAAGGACTATGGGGAAAAACAGAATATCCCCAGATAAAAATAAAAAGAATCTATCTGTGAAACTGCTTTGTGTTGTGTGGATTCATCTCACAAAGTTAAACCTTTTCTTTTGATTAAAGGGGTTTGAAAAACTCTTTAAGGAGAATCTGCAAAGGGCCATTTGGCAACCCAGTGAGGCCTATTGGGAAAAAAATAATATCCCCAGATACAAACTAGAAAGAAGCTATCTGTCAAACTGCTTTGTGATGTGTGGATTCATGTCACAGATTTAAATTTTTCTTTGCGTTCAGCAGGCAGGAAACACTCTTTTTGGAAAATATGCAATGGGCCATTTATGAATCCATTGGGGCGTATGGGAAAATCTGAATATCCCCAGATAAAAACTAGAAAGAAACTGTCTGTGAAACTGCTTTGTTATGTGGGGATTCATCTCACAGAGTTAAACTACTTTTTTGATTCAGCAAGTTGGAAACACTCTTTTTGGAGGATCTGCGAATTAATGTTTGAGCACCCATTGAGGCCAACGGTGTAGTGCCTAATATCACTAGATAAAAACTAGAAAGAAGCTATCTGTGAAACTCCTTTGTGATGTGTAAATTCATCTCACAGAGTTAAACTTTCCTTTTGATTCAGCAGGTTGGAAACACCCTTTTTGTAGAAACTGTGAAGAAACATTTGGAAGCCCATTGAGACCTACTGGGAAAAACTTATATCTACAGATAAAAGGTAGAAGGAAGTTACCTGTGAAACAGTATTGTAACTTGTGGATTCTTCTCACAGAGTTAAAATTTTGTTTTGATTCAGTACATTGGAAGAACTCTTACTGGAAAATCTATGAAATGACATTTGGTAGCCCATGGAGGCCTGTGTTGAAAACTGAATAGCCCCAGATAGAAATGAGAAAGAAGCTACCTGTGAAACTGCTTTGTGATGTGTCGATTCATTTTACAGAGTTAAATTTTTCTTTTGATTCAGCAGGTTGGAAAGACTCTAATTGGAGGATCTGCAAAGGTACATTTGGGAGCCCCTCTAGGCCTATGGGGTAAAACTGATTATCCCTTGATAAAAACTAGAAAGAAGCTATCTGAGAAAGTGCTTTGTGATGTGTGCATTCCTCTTCCAGAGTTGAATCTTTCTTTTGATTCTGCACGTTGGAAACACTCTATTTGGAGGATCTGCAAGGGGACCTTTGAAAGCCCTTTGAGGCCTATGGTGAAAATCATGTATCCCTAGATAAGAATTAGAAAGAAACAATGTGTCAAACTGCTTGGTGATGTTTGCTTTCATCTTACAAAGTTAAACTTTTTTCATTCAGAAGGTTGGAAACACTCTCTTTAGAGAATTTGTGAAGTGTCATTTTGGAGCAAATGGAGGCCAATGTTAAAATACCAAATATCCCCAGATAAAAACGAGAAAGAAGCTATCTGTGAAACTGCTTTTGATGTGTGGATTCATCTGAGGGAGATAAACCTTTCTTTTGATTCAGCATGTTGTAAATACTCTTTTTGGAGGATCTGCAAAGGGACAGCTGGGAGCCCATTTAGGCATATGGAGAAAAACTGAACATTACCAGATAAAAACTAGAAATAAGCAATTTGTGAAACTGCTTTGTGATGTGTGGATTCATATCAAAGAGGTAAACGTTTATTTTGATTCAGGAGGTTGGAAACACTCTTTTTAAAGAATCTGTGAAGGAATATTTGGATGACAATTGATGCCTATGGGAAAAAACAGAATATCCCTAGATAAAACTAGAAAGAAGCAATCTGTGAAACTGCTTTGTGATGTGTGGATTTATCTCACAGAGTTAAAGCTTTCTTTTAATTCAGCACGTTGGAAGCACTCTTTCTGGAAAATCTGCAAAGGGACATTTGGGAGTCCATTGATGTACATGAAAAAAAAAAGAATATCCCCAGATAAAAACTAGAAAGAAACAATCTGTTAAACAGCTTTGTGAAGTTTGGATTCATCTGACAGAGTTAAATGTTTCTTTTGATTCAGCAGGTTGGAAACACTCTTTTTGTAGAGTCTGCGATGGCATATTTGGGAGACCTTTGAATCCTATAGGGAAAAATGGAATATCCACTGATATAAACTAGAAAGAAGCTATCTGTGAAACCACTTTGTGATGTATGGATTCATCTCACGGAGTTAAGACTGTATTTTGATTAAGCAGGTTGGAAATACTGTTTTTGGAGAATGTGCAAATAGACGTTTGGAAGTCAGTTGAGGCCTATGGAAAAAAAATGAATATCTGCAGATAAAAACTAGAAAGAAGTTATCCATGAAACTGCTTTGTTATGTGTGGATTCATATCACAGATTTAAAACTTTCTTTTGATGCAGCTGGTTGGAAGAGCTCTTTATGTAGAATCTGCAAAAGGACATTTTGGAACCCATTGAGGCCTACTGGGAAAAACAAAATATCCTCAGAGAAAAACTAGAAAGAAATTAACTGTGAAACTTCTTTGTTATATGTGGATTCATCTCACAGATTTAAGACTTTCTTTTGATTCAGCAAGTTGGAAACATTTTTTTGTAGAGGCTTCAAAGGGACTTTGGGGAGCCCATTGAGGCCTATTGGGAAAAACCGAATATTTACACATAAAACCCACAAAGAAGCTATCTGTGAAATGGCTTTGTGATTCATCTCAGGGAGTTAAGCTTCTCTTTTGATGCAGCAGGTTGGAAACACTATTTTTGGAGGATCTGTGAATGGATATTTGTATCCCATTGAGGCCTACAGGAAAAACAGAATATCCCCAGATAACAACTAAATAAAACCTATCTATGAAACTGCTTTGTGATGCATGCATTCACCTCATAGAGTTAAAACTTTTTCCTAATTCAGCAGATTATAAACACATTTTTGGAGAATAAATGAAGGGACATTTGGGAACCCACTGAGACCTATGGGGAAAAAGAGAATTTCTCCTTAACTAATGGAAGGAAGCTATTTGTAAAATGGCTTTGGTATATGCAGATTCATCTCACAGAGTTAAAACATTCTTGTGATTCATCAGGGTGGAAACATTGTAATTGTTGAATCTGCAATGAGTCATTAGGGAGCTATTGAGACTTATGGGGAAAAACCAAATATCCCCAGATAATAATTAGACAGAAGTTACTTGTGAAACTGCTTTGTGATGTTGGATTCATCTCACAGAGTTAAAACTTTTCCTTAATTCAGTAGGTAGGAAACACTCCTTTTGTAGAATCTGTGAAGGGACATTTTGGAGCCTATTGAGGCCTAATAGGAAAAAATGAATATCCCCAGATAAAAGCTGGAAAGAAGCTTTCTGTGAAACTGCTTTGTGATGGGTGGATTCATCTCACAGAGTTAAACCTTTCTATCGAATCTGCAGGTTGGAAAAACTTTATCTGAAGAATCTGCTAGTGGATATTTAGGAGCCCACTGAGACCTAGGGGGAAAAACAGGATACCCATCAAAGAAAACTACAAAGAAACTAACTGTGAAACTGCTTTTTGACATGCAGATTCATCTCACAGAGCTAAACCTTTTTATTTTTTTATTCAGCAGGCTGGAAACATTCTTTTTGTAGAACCTGTGAAGGGACATTTGCAAGCCACTTGATGCCTATGGGGAAAAATCTGAATATCCTCAAATAAAATCTAGAAAAAGTATTTGTGAAACCACCTTGTGATGTGCAAATTTCTCTCACTGATTTAAGCCTTGCTTTTGATTCAGCAGGTTGAAAACGCTCTAATTGTTGAAACTGTGAAGGTACATTTGGAAGCCCATTGAGACCTATAGGGAAAAACTGTATATCCCCAGATAAAAAGTAGAAAGAAGCTATCTGTGAAATTGCTTTTTGATGTGTGGATTAATCTTACAGAAGAAATCTTTTCTATGATTCAGCAGGTTGCAATCACTCTTTTGGAGAATTTGCAAAGTGATATTTTGGAGCTCATTGATGCCAGTTGGTAAATCAGAATATCCCCAAATAAAAACCAGAAGGAAGCTATATGCAAAACTCTTTTCTGATGTGTGGATTCATCTCACAGAGTTAAACTTTTCTTTTAACTCAGTAGGTTGGAAACACATTTTTTGGATAATCTGTGAAGGGATATTTGCAGCCCATTGAAGCCCATGGGGAAAAATCAAATATCCCCAGATAAAAACTAGAAAGAAGCATTCCATGGAACTGCTTTGTGATGGGTGGATTTATCTCACAGAGTCAAACCATTCTTCTGATACAGCAGGTTGGAAATACTCTTTATGGACAATCTGCAAAGGGATATTTGGGAGCCCAATGATGCCTTTGGGAAAAGAGTGAATATCCCCAGATAAAAACTATAAAGAAGTGAAGGTGACCGAATAGGAACAGCTCTGGTCTACAGCTCCCAGCTTGAGCAATGCCAAAGATGGGGGATTTCTGCATTTCCAACCGAGGTACCAGGTTCATCTCACTAGGGAGTGCCAGACAGTTGGTGCAGGACAGTGGGTGCAGTGCACCGTGCATGAGCCAAAGCAGGGTGAGGCATTGCCTCACTCTGGAAGTGCAAGGGGTAAGGGAGTTCCCTTTCCTAGTCAAAGAAAGGGGTGACAGATGGCACCTGAAAAATCGGGTCACTCCCACCCTAATACTGTGCTTTTCCAGTGGGCTTAAAAAACGGCACACCAGGAGATTATATCTCGCACATGGCTCAGAGGGTCCTATGCCCATGGAGTCTGGCTGATTGCTAGCGCAGCAGTCTGAAATCAAACTGCAAGGCAGCAGCGAGGCTGGGGGAGAGGCACCTACCATTGCCCAGGCTTGATTAGGTAAACAAAGCAGCCAGGAAACTCGAACTGGGTTGAGCCCACCACAGCTCAAGGAGGACTGCCTGCCTCTGCAGGCTCCACCTCTGGGGGCAGGACACTCACAAACAATAAGACAGCAGTAACCTCAGCAGACTTAAATGTCCCTGTCTGACAGCTTTGAAGAGAGTAGTGGTTCAACCAGCACGCAGCTGGAGATCTGAGAATGGGCAGACGGCCTCCGCAAGTGGGTCCCTGACCCCTGACCCCTGAGCAGCCTAACTGGGAGGCACCCCCCAGTAGGGGCAAAGAGATATCTCACATGGCCAGGTACTCCTGTGAGACAAAACTATTCCAATCAATAGAAAAAGAAGGAATCCTCCCAAACTCATTTTATGAGGCCAGCATCATCCTGATATGAAAGCTGGGCAGAGACACAACAAAAAAGAGAATTTTAGACCAATATCCTTGATGAATATTGATGCAAAAATCCTCAATAAATTACTGGCAAACCAAATCCAGCAGCACATCAAAAAGCTTATCCACCATGATCAAGTGGGCTTCATCCCTGGGATGCAAAGCTGGTTCAACATATGCAAATCAATAAATGTAATCCAGCATATAAACGAACCAAAGACAAAAACCACATGATTATCTCAATAGATGCAGAAAAGGCCTTTGACAAAATTCAACAAACCTTCATGCTAAAAACTCTCAAATTAGGTATTGATGGGACTTATCTCAAAATAATAAGAGCTATCAATGACAATCCCACAGCCAATATCATACTGAATGGGCAAACACTGGAAGCATTCCCTTTGAAAACTGGCACAACACAGGGATGCCCTCTCTCACCACTCTTATTCAACATACTGTTGAAAGTTCTGGCCAGGGCAATTAGGCAGGAGAAGGAAATAAAGGATATTCAATTAGGAAAAGAGAAAGTCAAATTGACCCTGTTTCCAGATGACATGATTGTATATCTAGACATCCCCATTGTCTCAGCCCAAAATCTCCTTAAGCTGATAAGCAACTTCAGCAAAGTCTCAGGATACAAAATCAATGTGCAAAAATCACAAGCATTCTTATACACCAATAACAGACAAACAGAGAGCCAAATCATGAGTGAAAACCTATTCACAATTGCTTCAAAGAGAATAAAATACCAGGAATCCAAATTACAAGGGACGGGAAGGACCCCTTCAAGGAGAATTACAAACCACTGCTCAATGAAATAAAAGAGGATACAAACAAATGGAAGAACATTCCATGCTCATGGATAGGAAGAATCAATATCATGAAAATGGCCATACTGCCCAAGGTAATTTATAGATTCAATGCCATCCCCATCAAGCTACCAATGACTTTCTTCACAGAATTGGAAAAAACTACTTTAAAGTTCATATGGAACCAAAAAAGAGCCCGCATCACCAAGTCCATCCTAAGCCAAAAGAACAAAGCCGGAAGCATCACACTACCTGACTTCAAACTATACTACAAGGCTGCAGTAACCAAAACAGCATGGTACTGGTACCAAAACAGGATATAGATCAATGGAACAGATAACAGCCCTCAGAAATAATGCTGCATATCTACAACCATCTGATCTTTGACAAACCTGAGAAAAACAAGCAATGGGGAAAGGATTCCCTATTTAATAAATGGTACTCGGAAAACTGGCTAGCTATATGTAGAAAGCTGAAACTGGATCCCTCCCTTACACCTTATACAAAAATTAATTCAATATGATAATATGAAAAATTCCCAGATAGAAACTAGAAAGAAGCTATCTGTGAAACTGCTTTGTAATGTGTTGATTCATCTCAGAGAGTTAAACATTTCTTTTTATCCAGCAAGTTGAAAATACTCTTTTTGGAGAACCTGCGAATGGACATTTGGGAGCCCATTGTGGCCTATTTGGAAAAATCCAATATCACCAGGTAAAAACCAGAAAGAAGCTATCTGTGAAACTGCTTTGTGACGTGTGGATTTACCTCCCAGAGGTAAACCTTTCTTTTGTTTCAGCATGTTGGAAACACTCTTTTTGGATAATCTGTGAATGGACATTTGGGAACCCATTGAAGCCTATCGGGAAAAACAGAATAACGCCAGAAAAAAACTAGAACGAAGCTATCTGTGACTCTGCTTTGTGATGTGTCGATTCTTCCCACAGAGTTAAAACTTTCTTTCAATTTAGCAGTTTGGAAACACTCTTTGTGGAAAATCTGTGAAGGGACACATGGGAGCCCATTAAGGCCTATAAGAAAAAGTTAAATATCCTTTGATAAAAACTGAAAAGAAACAAACTGTGAAACTGGATTGTGATGTGTGGTTTCATCTCAGAGAATTAAAACTTTCTTTTGATTCAGCAGGTTGAAAACACTCTTTTCAAAGTATCTCTGAAGGGATATTTTGGAACCCATTGGGACCTAAGGGGGAAAAAAAACGAATATCCCCAGGAAAAAAACTCAAATGAAGCTGTCTGTGGAACTCTTTTGTGATATGTGGATTCATCTCAAAGAGTTAAAGTATTCTTTTGATTCAGTAGATTGGAAACACTTTTTGGAGAATATGTGAAGGGAAATTTTTGAGCCCATTGTGGCCTAAGGAAAAAAAAATGGAATATCTCCTGAAAAAAACTAGACAGAAGTTCTCTGTGAAACTGCTTGAAATATGTGGATTCATGTCACAGAGATAAACGTTTCTCTTGATGCGGCAGGTTGAAAACACTCCTTTTGCAGAATCTATGAATGAACATTTGGGAGCCCATTGAGGTGTATGGGGAAAAACTGGATATCCTAAAATAGAAACTCCAAAGAATTTATGTGGGAAACTGTTGTGACGTGTGGATTCAGGTCACAGAGTTAAACCATTCTTTTGATTCAGCAGGTGGGAAACACTCTTTTTGGAGAATCTGTGGATGGACTTTTCAGAGCCCATTATCACCTATGGGGAAAACCAAATATCTCCAGATAAAAACCAGAAAGAAACTGTTAACCTGCTTTGTGATACATGGATTCATCTCACAGAGATAAACCTTTCTTTAGATTAAGCAGGTTGAAAACACTCTTTTTGGATAATGTGTGAAGGAACACTTGGGAGCCCATTGAGGCCTATGGGTAAAAATGAAATATCCACAGAAAACAACTAGAAAGAAGCTATTTTTGAAACTGCTTTGTGATGTGTGGATTCATGTCACAGGGTTTAACATTTATTTTGATTCAGCAGATTGGAACCACTCTTTCTGGAGAATCTGCAAATGGACATTTGGGAGCCCCTTGAGGCCTATGAGTAAAAACCGAATATCCCCATATAAAAACTAGAAAGAAACTATCTGTGAAACTGCTTTGTGATATGTGGATTCATCTTACAGAGTTAAAACTTTCTTTTGATTCAGAAAGTTAGAAACATTCTTTTGGTAGAATCTGCAAAGGGACTTTTGGGAGTTGTTTGAGGCCTATATGGAAAGGCTGAATATTCTGAGATCAAAACTAGAACATAGGTCTTCATGAAACTCCCTTGTGAGTTGTGTGAGGTGTGGGTTCATCTCTCAGAATTAAAACTTTATTTTGATTAAGCAGGGTTAGAAACACTCATTTAGGAGAATCTGCAAAGGGATATATTGAAACCCATTGAGGCCTATGGAGAAAAACCAAATTACACCAGTGAAACAATAGAAAGAATCTATCTGTGAAACTGCTTTGTGATGTGTGGATTCATCTTACAGAGTTAAACCTGTCCTGTGATTCAGCAAGTTGAAAACACTCTTTTTAGAGAATCTACAAAGGAATATTTGGGAGCCCTTTGAGGCCTATGGAGAAAAACTGAATATCCCAAGATAGAAACTCAAAAGAAGCTATATGTGAAAGTGATGTGAGGTGTGTATTCATTTTACAGAGTAAAACCATTCTTTTGATTCAGCAGGTTGGAAACACTCTTTTTGGAGGATCTGTGAAGGGACATTTGGGATTCCATTGAGGCCTTTTGGGAAAAACTGAATATCACAGATACAAACTTGAAAGAATCTATCTGTGAAAGTGCTTTGTGATGTGTGGATTTATCTTGCAGGGTTAAACCTTTCTTCCGTTTCACCACGTTGGAAACACTCTTTGTGGAAAATCTGTGAAGGGACATTTGGGAGTGCTTTAAGGCCTATGGAGCAAAACCGAAATAACCCGAGATTAAAAACTAAGAAGAAGCTATCTGTGAAAATACTTTGTTATGTGTGGATTCATCTCAGAGAGTTAAACCACTCTTTTGATTCAGTATGTTGGAAACACTTTTTGGAGAATATGCAAAGGGACAATTTGGAGCCCATTGTGGCCTATGGGGAAAAAAAACTAATATCACTGGATAAAAACTAAAAAGAAAGCTATCTGTGAAACTGCTTTGTGATATGTGGATTCATCTCACAGAGTTGAACCTTTCCTTTGATTCAGCAGGTTGAAAACACTCTTTTTAGAGGATCTGCAAAGAAACATTTGGGAGCCCTTTGAGGCCTATGGGGATAAATCTAATATCCCATGTGAAACTGATGTGATATATGTATTTATTTCACAGTTAAACCATTCTTTTGACTCAGCAGGTTGGAAACACTCTTTTAGGAGAATATGCTAAGGGACACTTGGGAGCCCATTTAGGCCTATGTGGAAAAGCCAAATACCCCCAGATATAAACTAGAAAGAAGCTACCTGTGAAACTGCTTTGTAATGTGTGGATTCATCTTACCAAGTTAAAACTTTCTTTTCATTCAGCAGGTTGAAACACTCTTTTTAGAGAATCTATGAAGGAACATTTGGGAGCCCTTTGAGGCCTATGGAGAAAAACTGAATATCCCAACATGGAAACTCAAAGAAGCTATGTGTGAAAGTGAGGTGATGTGTGGATTCATTTCATAGAGCAAAACCCTTCTTTTGATTCAGCAGGTTGGAAACACTCTTTTTTAGAAAATCTGCAAAGCGACATTTGGGATCCCATTGAGGCCTATGGGGAAAATCTGAATATCCCAGATAAAAACTTGAAGGAAGCTATCTGTGAAAGTGCTTTGTCATGTGTGGATTTATCTGAAGTTAAAACTTTCTTTTGATTCACCAGGTTGGAAACACTCTTTGTGGAAAATCTGTGAAGGGACATTAGGGAGCGCTTTTAGGCCTATGGGGCGAAACCGAAATATCCCCAGATAAAAACTAGGAAGAAGTTATCTGTGAAACTACCTTGTGATGTGTGGAATCATCTCACAGAGTTAAACCACCCTTTTTATTGAGCAGGTTGGAAACACTTTTTGGAGAATATACAAAGGGACATTGGGAGCCCATTGTGGCCTATGGAAAAAAACACTAATATTCCTGGATAAAAACTAGAAAGAATCTATCTGTGAAACTGCTTTATTATGTTTGGATTCATCTCACAGAGTTGAACTTTTCCTTTGATTCATCAGGTTCAAAACACTCTTTTTAGAGGATCTATGAAGTAACATTTGGGAGCCCATTGAGGCCTATGGGGAAATATCTAATATCCCATGATAGAAACTTGAAGAAGCTATCTGTGAAACTGAGGAGATTTATGGATTTAACTCAGAGAGTTAAACCATTCTTTTGATTCAACTGAGTAGTGGTTGCTTTTTTAAGATGTTAGACCCTGCATTTTAGTTTAGATCACTATCCCCTAACCACCAATTTTTAAATTATTTCCCTAAAAATACATAATGTAATGAAAGTGCTTTACAAAAAATAAAATTATTTGAAATCACTTTTGCATAATTATTTAAAAATATATTAGTAAACATAAGCACACAGGAAATCAATGATAGGTGCAGTGATCCTAAAATAAAATAAGCTGTGGTAACAAAGCAGTGTAACATGACACAGTGTAATGTGAATGGCAGGTACCTTCAACTAGTTTACCTGAAATATTTATGAACAGATACACCTCTTCAGATATAGGTAACTGTATTCCTAAGTTACTCACAGATACTGTGTATCACAAAACAAGGAGCTCTCTTACATAAGTTATGTGCTTCCATTTGCCCTCAGCATCTAGAATGAGGCTCAAAATAACTGAGGGAAGGCAAATCTCAATTTTAGTAATAGGTCTATACAATATTAGCACTTTTTAAAAAGCCTGTGACATTAGCATTTAAGATGGATATGTCTATAGTGCTTCAAGTAGTTTTCATCTCTGAAATCATTTTAAAATCACAGAATTTGAAGTTATATGCTAGAAAGGACCAATGACCTTACATGCCATTTAATGCAACACTCATTTTACAGATCCCAGGAAAATGCACCTTAAAACTAATTTGTCCAAGGCCCCACCAAGTAGGTGCAGTTTCTCAACCTAAACTCAAATTAGGCAGTATCTCTCAAACTTTGTTGCACATTAAAATCACCGGAGAAGCTTTAATAACTGCCTCAATTTCAACATGAGGCATTTTGATTTAATTAGTATTGGGTATGAGTTTGGGCATTGGGGTGTTCTTAAAAGTTTCCCAGGTGACTTCAATGTGCAGAAAAGTTTGGAATGATTGAGTTGGAGTGAAAAATCAGAATCTTCTGGGATGCTTTTCTTCACATAAAGATGCCTCACTTCCATCCCTATTTTCCTAAAAGGCTTCTCAGTGCCTAGAGATAGAGGGAAAGTGGAGATGGGAAGAAACATGTGTATGCAGACATGTATTTTGAAAAAAACTTTGCAAAACTGATCCCAATGCGTTCCACTTATCCCATTGACAACAGTGCACTACTAACTCGTGATGAACAGTTTTCAAAATCTTTTCTTGAAGCTAATTTGCCCTATTAATTTGCTCAATAAACCTTTATTTCACCAATAGTAAATATACCAAATGATCATTACTCAAACTTGCTGATGGCGAGTTAAAACTTACTTTACTTTCAAAATAGATTCCTAAAAATTAGAATAATGAGGAAAAAAGCATGAAATTTGTTTGAGCAAGATTAACCTTCAAAGCTACTTTTGAATTGTTGCTAACACATCAAAATCTTTTCAATTGAAAAGAAGCCAGGGATTGTAGCCAAGTAGTGTTTTTTGGTGCCAAGAAGCTTTTTGGTGTTGTGGTTTGTGTGTGTGTGTGTGTCTCAAAAATTTAAGAGAAGGCTGGGCACGGTGGCTCATGCCTGTAATCCCAGCACTTTGGAAGGCTGAGGCGGGTGGATCACCTGAGGTCTGGAGTCCAGCCTGACCAACATGGAGAAACCCGTCTCTGCTAAAAAATTACGAAATCAGCCAGATGTGCTGGTGTGTGCCTGTAATCTCAGCTACTCAGGAGGCTGAAGCAGGAGAATCACTTGAACCTGGGAGGCAGAGGTTGCGGTGAGCCGAGATTGCACCATTGCACTCCAGCCTGGGCAACAAGAGTGAAACTCTGTCTCAAAAAAAAAAAAAAAAAACATTTAAGAGACTTGGTTGACTACAGACATTTAGTGATTACTCATTCGGTCCCAAAGCTCATGACTTGAGATAGAGTTTGAGTCCAGTTTTTGCTGAAACACAATTTCATCTCAATTATTGTTATAAGAAAGGGAGGAAAGTGACATTATGCATGTAAACTTGCCATTTCTAATTAAAGTTAAAGTTACTGATGATTGAATTAGCTAAAAAGGCTAGTGCATTCAAAACGAAATTGTTTATAAGCTGGTTACATTTATGGGATGAAAAGTAAAATTAAAGATAAACACATTAATATTCTAAATTAACACTTACCAAACTTTAAAAATAAGACTCATAACCGAAGGAGATTATAACAATGTACACTGGACAGCCTCTATGGAGTTGGTGGTGGTGTTGGTTGTTGTTCCTTTTAAAATAAACTTCATCTCAGGGTGCTCTCAAAGCACATCTTTGTGGCACATGAAGTGTTAATGCACAATGGGAGAAACTCAAATGCAGATACACGGTGGTGGCAGAAGAGAAAAAGCTGTTCCTTCTTCCAAGACTAATGTCCAAAGTAGTACACATTGATTTAGGCCTGTAACACATTGAAAAACTAATTTTTCACAAAAAGACATTCAATAAAGGGAACCTATCCTTCTCACTGTGTTCAACATTGTTTTAAGGTATAAAGGCATCAAATAAATAGCTGCACTTTTTCTGGGATTGCTTATTTGCTAACTGATTTTTCCTTCCACCCTGACGTCTAAGATTAAAAGAGAAATTGATACTTATAATCTGGGTATCAATATACAGTGGACTTCAATTTTTTAAACTGCTTGCAGAAGAGTACAACCAAAAGGCTGAAATACTTTTAGAATAAAAGGAGTCTCTCCCTTGACAGTATAGTTGTACTCACAATTTTAATGTCATTGTTGGATGAGGCCGGCTGGCAGTGCTGTCATCAAGGAATATTTTCGAGCATGAACTGTATTGTTGAGTAAAATACTCAGTAGATACCTGAAGGGGAAAGGAAGTATAAGTTAAACTTATCAAAGTTTATTTTTTCTTGGTGAAAATGTCAAATGACAAAACACTAAGATATTTCTTACACTCCATGAACTGCCTGAGTGTGGTATCATATGCACTCTATAGAAAACACATTGGAGGCTCTTAACTTCCAGAGATGGTGTTGGAGACATGGGTTATAAAATGCTTCCCTTAATATGGTACCTGTCATCAAACCTAAAAAAGGATCTCATGAATTCCATTTATAAATAATGAGAAAAGTTTAAAATAAGGTTTCATTGTTTTTTGCTACAGCAATATAAAGCAGCCAAGAACTTCTATTTCTATTATTTATTTACTATGATAAAATGTAATGTATTAAATAATACTGGTGCAAGAACATTTTATTGCAATGAATACAAGACTAATGCATTTACTAAGTTACTAATCCTAAACGTATTATTTCAGGCAATATTGTGACAAAACAAGTGTTTCAGATTCAGAGGCTCTGTGTGCCAGGGCTACTAGACCACCAACAAGTGAGGAAGCCATAGGTTTCTCTAGTCCTGTTTTCTTATGCGGAGGATAAAAAGAGTATCACTTAAATATTCTCTGACACCCTGAAAACAGGTGACAAAAATGACAATTTAAAAAATTTAACTTTCACTTCATGTTTAAATAAGACTGCCATGACATGACTCAAAGGAGACTCTCAGGGAATACTTTCCATTCATTTCAAAAGTTGATTAATATCATTCTATAAAAATCATCTAACCTGCACCTAGGCATTTTCCTGCTCTACCCCTGCTCTCTGCCTAAAATAATGCTTTTCTCTTTCTTTGTTTCAGCAAGCTTGACTCCATCTACTCTCTTGGATCTCTTTGCCAGCAGCCACACCAAAAAATGTTTTTTGGTACACTAATTAGTCAAATTCACCACTAGCTACAAGATACTAATTCTTGAAGAGTATTCACCTCATGAGAAAGTATGCCTCTACATAAGAGTAAAGGAGGACACTTACTGTTCCTACCTCCAGCTGCTGAGCATAGAATTTTGAGTAAATCAAAAACTTCAACAAGTGTTTGACAAATTATTTCAGATATAATTTGGAAGGTACAGTTTACTACACTTAATTACAACAAAAACACTAACAGTTTGCTGTGTATAGGTATTATTTAAGGTAGTCACGGCGGTTCCAAGATGGTCGAATAGGAACAGCTCCAGTCTACAGATCCCAGCGTGAGTGATGCAGAAGATGGGTGATTTCTGCATTTTCAACTGAGGTACCGGGTTCATCTCACAGGGGCTTGTCAGACAGTGGGAACAGGATAGTGGGTGCAACCCACCGAGCATGAGCCGAAGCAGGAGAGGCATCACCTCACCCAGGAAGCACAAGGGGTCAGGGAATTCCCATTCCTAGCCAAGGGAAGCAGTGACAGACGGCACCTGGAAAATCGGGTCACTCCCACCCCAATACTGCGCTTTTCCAATGGTCTTAGCAAATGGCGCACCAGGATATTATATCCCGTGCCTGGCTCAGAGGGTCCCACGCACCCATGGAGCCTTGCTCATTGCTAGCACCGCCATCTGAGATTGAATTGCAAGGCAGCAGCGAGGCTGGGGTATGGGTGCCCACCATTGCTGAGGCTTGAGTAGGTAAACAAAGTGGCCAGGAAGCTTGAACCAGGTGGAGCCCACCGCAGCTCAAGGAGGCCTGCCTGCCTCTATAGACTCCACATCTGGGGGGAGGGCATAGCTGAACAAAAGGCAGCAGAAACCTCTGCAGACTTAAATGTCACTGTCTGACAGCTTTGAAGAGAGTAGTGGTTCTCCCAGCATGGAGTTTGAGATCTGAGAATGGACAGACTGCCTCCTCAAGTGCGTCTCTGACCCCAGAGTAGCCTAACTGGGAGGAATCCTGCATAAGGAGCAGAGTGACACCTCACGCGGCCAGGTACCTCTCTGAGAAAAACCTTCCAGAGGAATGATCAGGCAGCAACATTTGCTGTTCAGCAACATTTGCTGTTCTGCAGCCTCTGCTGCTGATACCCAGGCAAACAGGGTCTGGAGTGGACCTCCAGCAAACTCCAACAGACCTGCAGCTGAGGGTTCTGACTGTTAGAAGGAAAACTAACAAGAAGAAAAGACATCCACACCAAAACCCCATCTGTACATCACCATCATCAAAGACCAAAGGTAGACATAACCACAAAGATGGGAAAAAACAGAGCAGAAAAGCTGAAAATTCTAAAAATCAGAGCACCTATCCCCCTCCAAAGGAATGCAGCTCCTCACCAGCAACAGAACAAAGCTGAATTGAGAATGACTTCGATGAGTTGAGAGAAGAAGACTTCAGATGATCAAACTTCTCCAAGCTAAAGGAAGAAGTTTGAGGCCATCGCAAAGAAGCTAAAAACCTTGAAAAAAGATTAGACAAATGGCTAACTAGAATAAGCAGTGTAGAGAAGACCTTAAATGACCTGATGGAACTGAAAACCATAGCACGAGAACTACGTGATGAATGCACAAGCTTCAGTAGCCAATTTGATCACCTCGAAGAAAGGGTATCAGTGATTGAAGATCAAATGAATGAAATGAAGCAAGATGAGAAGTTTAGAGAAAAAAAGAGTAAAAAGTAATGAACAAAGCCTCCAAGAAATATGGGACTATGTGAAAAGACCAAATCTACATCTGATTGGTGTACCTGAAAGTGATGGGGAGAATGGAACAAAATTGGAAAACACTCTGCAGGATATTATCCAGGAGAATGTCCCCAACCTAGCAAGGCAGGCCAACATTCAAATTCAGGAAATACAGAGAACGCCACAAAGATACTCCTCAAGAAGAGCAACTCCAAGACACATAATTTTCAGACTCACCAAAGTTGAAATGAAGGAAAAAAATGTTAAGGGCAGCCAGAGAGAAAGGTCGGTTACCCAGAAAGGGAAGCCCATCAGACTAACAGCGGATCTGTCAGCAGAAACTCTACAAGCCAGAAGAGAGTGGGGGCCAATATTCAACATTATTAAAGAAGAGAATTTTAAACCCAGAATTTTGTATCCAGCCAAACTAAGCTTCATAATTGGAGGAGAAATGAAATCCTTTACAGACAAGCAAATGCTGAGAGATTTTCTCACCACCAGGCCTGCCCTAAAAGAGCTCCTGAAGGAAGCACTAAACAAGGAAACAAATGACCGGTACCAGCCAATGCAAAAACATGCCAAATTATAAAGACCATTGATGCTACAAAGAAACTGCATCAACTAACAAGCAAAATAATCAGCTAACATCATAATAACAGAATCAAATTCACACATAAAAATATTAACCTTAAATGTAAATGGGCTAAATGCTCCAATTAAAAGAAATGGACTGGTAAATTGGATAAAGAGTCAAGACCCATCAGTGTGCTGTGTCCAGGAGACCCATCTCACATGCAGAGACACACATAGGCTCAAAATAAAGGGATGGAGGAAGATCTACCAAGCAAATGGAAAACAAAAAAAAGCAGGGGTTGCAATCCTAGTCTCAGGTAAAACAGACTTTAAATCAATAAAGATCAAAAGAGACAAAGAAAGCCATTACATAATGGTAAAGGGAGAAATTCAACAAGAAGAGCAACTATCCTAAATATATATGCACCCAATACAGGAGCACCCAGATTCATAAAGCTAGTCCCTAGAGACCTACAAAGAGACTTAGACTCCCACACAATAATAATGGGAGACTTTAACACCCCACTGTCAACATTAGACAGATCAATGAGACAGAAAGTTAACGAGGATATCCAGGAATTGAACTCAGCTCTGCACTAAGCAGACCTAATAGACATCTGCAGCACTCTCCATCCCAAATTAACAGAATATACATTCTTCTCAGCACCACATCGGACGTATTCCAAAACTGACCACATAGTTGGAAGTAAAGCAATCCTCAGCAAATGTAAAAGAAAAGAAATTATAACAAACTGTCTCTCAGACCACAGTGCAATGAAACTAGAACTCAGGATTAAGAAGCCCACTCAAAACCGCTCAACTACAAGGAAACTGAACAACCTGCTCCTGAATGACTGCCAGGTACATAACGAAATGAAGGCAGAAATAAAAATGTTCTTTGAAACCAACAAAAACAAAGACACAACATACCAGAATCTCTTGGACACATTTAAAGCAGTGTGTACAGGGAAATTTATAGCACTGAATGCCCAGAAGAGAAAGCAGGGAAGATCTAAAATTGACACCCTAACATCACAATTAAAAGAACTAGAGAAGCAAGAGAAAACACATTCAAAAGCTAGAAGAAGGCAAGAAATAACTAAGATCAGAGCAGAACTGAAGGAGATAGAGACAAAAAAAAAAAAAAAACCTACAAAAAATCAATGAATCCAGGAGCTGGTTTTTTGAAAAGATCAACAAAATTGATAGACCACTAGCAAGACTAATAAAGAAGAAAAGAGAGAAGAATCAAATAGATGCAATAAAAAATGATAAAGGGGATATCACCACTGATCCCACAGAGATACAAACTACAATCAGAGAATATTATAAACACCTCTGCACAAGTAAACTAGAAAAACTAGAAGAAATGGATAAATTCCTCGACAAATACACCCTCCCAAGACTAAACCAGGAGGGAGTTGAATCCCTGAATAGACCAATAACAGGCTCTGAAATTGAGGAAATAATTAGTAGCCTAACAACCAAAAAAAGACCAGGACCAGACTGATTCACAGCCGAATTGTACCATATGTACAAGGAGGAGATGGTACCATTCCTTCTGAAACTATTGCAATCAACAGAAAAAGAGGGAATCCTCCCTAACTCATTTTATGAAGCCACCATCATCCTGATACCAAAGCCTGGCAGAGGCACAACCAAAAAAGAGAATTTTAGACCAATATCCCTGATGAACATCGATGCAAAAATCCTCAATAAAATGCTGGCAAACCAAATCCAGCAGCACATCAAAAAGCTTATCCACCATGATCAAGTAGGCTTCATCCCTGGTATGCAAGGCTGGCTCAACATACGAAAATCAATAAACGTAATCCAGCATATAAACAGAACCAAAGACAAAAACCACATGATTATCTCAATAGATGCACAAGGTCCTTTGACAAAATTCAACAGCCTTTCATGCTAAAAACGCTCAATAAATTAGGTATTGATGGGACGTATCTCAAAATAATAAGAGCTATGTATGACAAACCCACAGCCAATATCATACTGAATGGGCAAAAACTGGAAGCATTCCCTTTGAAAACTGGCACAAGACAGGAATGCCTTCTCTCACCACTCGTATTCAACATAGGGCTGGAAGTTCTGGCCAGGGCAATCAGACAGGATAAAGAAATAAAGGGTATTCAATTAGGAAATGAGGAAGTCATATTGTCCATGTTTGCAGATGGCATGATTGTATATTTAGAAAACCCCATCATCTCAGCCCAAACTCTCCTTAAGCTGATAAGCAACTTCAGCAAAGTCTCAGGATATAAAATCAATTTGCAAAAATCACAAGCATTCTTATACACCAATAACAGACAAATGGAGAGCCAAATCATGAGTGAAATCCCATTCACAATTGCTTCAAAGAGAATAATATACCTAGGAAACCAACTTACAAAGGATGTAAGGACCTCTTCAAGGAGAACTACAAAGCACTGCTTAATGAAATAAAAGAGGACAGAAACAAATGGAAGAACATTCCATGCCCACGGAGAGGAAGAATCAATTTCATGAAAATGGCCATACTGCCCAAGGTAATTTATAGATTCAGCGCCATCCCCATCAAGCTACGAATTACGTTCTTCACAGAATTGGAAAAAACTACTTTAAAATTCATATGGAACCAAAAAAGAGCCTGCATTGCCAAGACAAACGTAAGCCAAAAGAACAAAGCTGGAGGCATCATGCTACCTGACTTCAAACTATACTGCAAGGCTACAGTAACCAAAACAGCAAGGTACTGGTACCAAAAGACAGATATAGACCAATGGAACAGAACAGAGCCCTCAGAAATAATACCACACGTCTACAACCATCTGATCTTTGACAAACCTGACAAAAACAAGAAATGGGGAAAGGATTCCCTATTTAATAAATGGTGCTGGGAAAACTGGCTAGCCATATGGAGAAAGCTGAAACTGGATCCCTTCCTTACATCTTATACAATAATTAATTCAAGATGGATTAAACACTTAAATGTTAGACCTGAAACCATAAAAACCCTAGAAGGAAACCTAGGCAATACCATTCAGGACATAGGCATGGGCAAGGACTTCATGTCTAAAACACCAAAAGCAATGGCGGCAAAAGACAAAATTGGCAAATGGGATCTAATTAAACTAAAGAGCTTCTGCACAGCAAAAGAAACTACCATCAGAGTGAACAGGCAACCTACAGAATGGGAGAAAATGTTTGCAATCTACTCATCTGACAAAGGGCTAATATCCAGAATCTACAAAGAACTCAAACAAATTTACAAGAAGAAAATAAACAACCCCATCAAAAAGTGGGCAAATGATATGAACAGACACTTCTCAAAAGAAGACATTTATGCAGCCAACAGACACATGAAAAAAAAATGCTAATCATCACTGGCCATCAGAGAAATGCAAATCAAAACCACAATGAGATATCATCTCACACCAGTTAGAATGGTGATCATTAAAAAGTCAGGAAACAACAGGTGCTGGAGAGGATGTGGAGAAACAGGAACACTTTTACACTGTTACTGGGACTGTAAACTTGTTCTACCATCGTGGAAGAATCTACCATTGAGGCGATTCCTCAGGGATCTAGAACTAGAAATACCATTTGACCCAGTGATCCCCTTACTGGGTATATACCCAAGGGATTATAAATCATGTTGCTAGAGAGACACGTGCTTTATATTTTTTGTTTAAATATATGTTTTCTTGGCATGTTTATTGTGTTTTGTGTTTATTTGTGTTTATCGTGGCACTATTCACAATAGCAAAGACTTGGAACCAACCCCTATGTCCATCAATAATAGACTGGAATAAGAAAATGTGGCACATATACACCATGGAATACTATGCAGCCATATAAAAGGATGAGTTCATGTCCTTTGTATGGACATGGATGAAGCTGGAAACCGTCATTCTCAGCAAACTACCGCAAGGACAAAAAACCAAACACCGCATTTTCTCACTCATAGGTGGGAATTGAACAATGAGAACACTTCGTCACGGGAAGGGAAATATCACACACTGGGGCCTGTCATGGGGTGGAGGGAGTGGGGAGGGATACCATTAGGAGATATACCTAATGTAAATGATGTGTTAATGAGTGCAGCACACCAACATGGCACATGTATACATATGTAACAAACCTGCACATTGTGCACATGTACCCTAGAACTTAAAGTATAATTTTAAAAAAGTAATCACAAAAATAGAAACAAATAATCTAACTTCAGTCAGTATAAATCAGAGTATGAAAATTTATGATCTTTAACAAGAAATGGAAGGGATTACTTAGTAGTTTTACAGTTTAATAACAAAAACTAGAAAATAATTATACTTAGTAATTTAGTAACTCAAAATCAAAGCCTTGCCATCAAAGGTCCAGTACCCTTTGGACGCCAATGCCCACCCACTGACTTCTTCCACTCTACTTGCTGCCTTTCATTTTAACCCATTAAAAATACTAAAGTTGTTTTCCTTGTAGAGGTCTTTCACCTCCTTGGTTTCTTCTATTCCTAAATATTTTGTTTTTTCAGCTACTATAAAAGGGGTGAGATCTTGGTATGATTCTAACTTGGCTGCTGTTGGGGTATAACAGTGCTACTGATTTGTGTACAGTAATTTTCCCTCCTGAAACATTGTTGAATTCATTTATCTGTTCTAGGAGCTTTTTAGAGGAGTCTAGGGTTTTCTAGGTATACGATCATTATCATCAGCAAACAGCAACAGTTTGACTTCTTTACCAATCTGGATGCCTTTTATTGCTTTCTCTTGAGTGATTGCTCTGCCTAGGTCTTCCAGTACTATGTTGAATAGAAGTGGCGAGAGTGGGCATCCTTGTCTTTTTCCAGTTCTCAGGGGGAATGCTTCCAAATTTTCCCTGCTCAGTATTATGTTGGCTGTGGGTTTGTCATAGATGCCTTTTATTACATTGAAGTATAACGCTTGTATGCCGATTTCACTGAGGGATTTAATTATAAAACGATGCTGGATTTTGTCAAATGCTTTTTCTGCATCTATTGAGATGATCATGTGATTTTTGTTTTTAATTCTGTTTATGTGGTGTATCACATTTATTGACTTGCATATGTTAAACCATCCCTGCATCCCTGGTATGAAACCCATTTGATCATGGTGGATTATCTTTTTCATATGCCACTGGGAACTACAAAACATTGCTGAATGAAATCATGGACACAAACAAATGGAAAGACATCCCATGCTCATGAACGGGTAGAAGGAATATTGTGAAAATGACCATACTGCCAAAAGCAATCTAAAAATTCAATGCAATTCCCAACAAAATACCACCATCCTTCTTCACTGAACTAGAAAAAACAATCCTAAAATTCATATTTGACCAAACAGAACCTCACATAGCCAAAACAAACCCAAGAAAAAACAACAAATCTGGAGACATCACATTACCTGATTTCAAACTATACTATAAGGCCATAGTCACCAAAACAGCATGGTACTGGTATAAGAATAGGCACATACACCAGTGGAACAGAATAGAGGACCCAGAAACAAATCTAAATACCTATAGCTAATGATCTTCAACAAAGCCAACTGAAACATAAAGTGAAGAAAGTAAAGTGTATTCAATAACAAATGGTGCTGGGATAATTGGCAAGCCACATGCAGCAGAATGAAACTGGATCCTCAACTCTCTCTTTACACAAAAATCAACTCAAAATGGATCAAGAACATAAATCTATGACCTGAAACCACAAAAACTCTAGAAGAAAACATTAGAAAAACCCTTCTAGACACTATCTTAGGCAAAGACTTCATGACCAAGAACCCAAAAGCAAATTCAGCAAAAACAAACAGGTGAGACTTAACTAAAGAGCTTCTGCACAGGAAAAGGAACAATCAGCAGAGTTAACAGACAACCCACAGAGTGGGAAAAAATCTTCAGTCTGTACATCTGACAAAGGGCTATTATCCAGAATCTACAAGGAACTCAAACAAATTACAATTTACGAATTACAATTACAAAAATGTGGAACCAGCCCAAATGCCCATCAATCAACAAGTGGATAAAGAAACTGTGATAAACATATACATATATATGTATAATGGAATACCACTCAGTCATCATAAGGAATAAATTAATGGCATTCCCAGCAACCTGGATGGAACTGGAGACTATTATTCTAAATGAAGTAACTCAGGCATAAAAAACTAAACATCGTATATTCTCATTCATATGTGGGAGCTAAGCTATGAGGATGCAACAGCATAAGAATGATAAAATGGATTTTCGGGACTCAGGGGAAAGGCTGGGAGGAGGGTAAGGGATAAAAGACTACAAATTGGGTTCAGTGGATACTGCTCAGGTGATGGATGCACCAAAATCTCACAAATCATCACTAAAGAACCTACTCATGTAACCAAAAACCACCTGTTCCCCAAAAAACCTATGGAAATAATGAATAAATAAAGTACAGGATTCTTCTCAGCAAACATAAATAAATAAAATAAAAACTGAAGTTTATCTTTTTATCTCTCCTTTTTGGCAGGACAAATTTTAGATATGTTTTTAAAGAATTAATAACCTTTTTCCTTTCTCTGAGACATGGTCTCACTTTGTTGCCCAGGCTGGAGTGCAGTGATGCAATTATAGTTAACTGCAGCCTCAAACTCCTGAGCTCAAGCAATCCTCTGCCTCAGCCTCCTGAGTAGGTAAAACCAAAGGCACATGCTACCAAGCCTGGGTAATTTGTTATTTAACCTTTTTGTAGAGATGAGCTCTTGCTATGTTGACCAGGCTAAAAATAAACAAATCTTAATTAACTTAAATATTTCTAACACTTTGGGCATTCATGAAAACAGCTCCATCTAAGTTGTGAAGTAATGGGATCATATGGCAGTGTATAAAATTTGAATGGAAATATTAAACAAGGCTTTAGGAGATAAGTATAATATGCTTATGATAGATACATAATTTTAAAAATTGTCTGGATTAATATCATTAATTATATTGAAATTAAACTTTGATTTACATTTAAATGTAGGTCCTAAATTTGGATTAAATATAATAGATTGACCACAAATTTATTTTCTCTCCCTCTGGAAGTCTCATTAGTCATAAAATAATGGTTACACACAGGAACAGGAGAGGAGGTTGACAGAGATAATTTTTAATAAATGCTGAGACATAGAAAGTAGATAAAGGAGTGGTAAATAACACAAAGCACAACTTTGGTGCCTACAGAAAGTGACTGGAAGAGAAGCAAAGTAGTTTGTCTTGCAGAACTAAAGGCAGGCTGTGAACTTAGAGGCAAATGGCACTTTGGAAAGTGGGGTAAAATGTAAAACAAACGCCGGCAAGGTCAGTTGAAAATCTCTTACCAGAGCCCCAAGTCCACCTGTCCTCCCATCTGATAAGAAACTTAGATGTGTGTTGTCTGGATATATCAAACCTGATAATTTCTGGCTCAGAGATACCACGGTTTAAACTTGAAATATCAAGAAAACTGTAAACCAAAAATGGAACTCCAACTTTCTTCCCTAACTCTGCTTTTGGAAACCAAGTAGCCATGCTTTTACTTCCCAGGCAGGAAATTGGGAGATCATTTTCAGAAGAAACTGAACTGTCTCTAATAAAGATCTACAGATAATACACTGAGGTCCCCAAAATGGAAACTAGTTTGGCTTCCAAAACCTCACACTGAGTGCTACCAGTTAACAGAAGTCATGCTTCCAAATAAAAAAAGCCAGGGACCACCACACATTGGAGGGAAGCCTCCAACAAGAGACATCAAAACAACAGAAAAAAGGGATTCATGGGACCAGTCAAAATCATGAGCAAAACTTTTTTAAAAATCTTAAAACACTCTTAAAAAATATAAAATTCAATAGAAATAGTAGAGGATAAAGTCACAGAATATCCCAGAATTAGAATAAAAAGACAAACTGAAAATAATAGAAAGGGAAAAATTAAAAGCCAATGCAGGTATACTGGTCTAAGCAGCCTAGCGTCTGAATAACAAGACTATCAGAAAAAAAGGAACAGAGAAAATTTAAAAAATTCTCAAGAAGTGATAGTCTGCAGACTTAGTAGCCCCAATAAAATGAAAAGATCCTTACCAAGCTGTTATTGTGAAATTTCAGAATCTCAGAGACAGAAAAGCTCCTAAAAAGCCTCCACAGATACTTAAAACGTGGTTATAAATAATGTATCACACAATGGCAATAGATTCAAGAGCAACGCTTTAATGAGAGCACAATTGCAAAATATCTTCAGAACCATAAAATTTAGATTCAACCTAGAGGTTTACTTTCTATCAAAGAGGAGGGATTTTAAGACCTGCCAGATCTCTAAACATCTCCACCCAGGAAAATGTGCTTAAGTACAACTAGAGAGGATAACAGGACAGCGGGAAACAGAATCTAGGACTCAGGCAATCCCACACAAGACGGCAGTTATGTGAGATTCCAAAAGACTTTAAGGAGCTAGCACAGAAAAGCAGACATCGAGCATATCTAGGGAAAGGCACTCTATATTGAACTAGGATGACAAAAGGCCAAATAAAGTCACCCAACACCCCCGCCCCCCAAAAAAAAGGAACAGATGTGTTTTAGCAGGTGGAAAATATCTTTGAAAGGCATGTGATAAATGCTACAACACTTGGGGGGAAAACAGCTGTTAGAAAACAGGCAAATGAATAAAATCAGAAAATTAGCTTCATGCTAAAAAATAATGGATGTGAAAGCAAACAGAGCACACAGAGGCTACTTACTATATTTGGATGGATAAACTAACATAGACTAGGAAAAAAGAGAAGATCTAGGAGAATTGCAGAAGTGCTCAGATTTCAAAACTGTTTCAGAGAAAGAATGAAGGATATGTAATGCAGAGGCACAGTGAAAACACCAAATGACTAAGCAGTGAAAAAAATTTGCATAGTCATAATAGTGTAAGTATTACTGATTTAATTTAAAAATGTGTTACAATTGGAAGAAACACAGGGAGAAAAATAAGGTCATGGTGTAGTGAAGAAGGTATGCTTTCACCTGCTATGACAGAAAGTCAATAGACAGTGCTAACAGTTAATTTAGCTATTCTATTTTTGTTATTTCATTAAACATAAGATTAAATATGTAAAGCAGATCTTTATACCACAACCAGACTATTGAAATTTAACTTAAATGTCAGAAATCCTTAAAAGATAGACACACTAAGCTGAAGACTTTTCTGGATAAATTTGATACTTAGGAAAATAAAAGAGATTTAGAAAATCCACAAAAAGATCTCCATGCTATCACCACTGGGACCTATTATAATTTAAAGGAATCAAGAGAGACATACTTTTATGTCAAGCTATCAATTTCTTAACATTTTGACTGTTTACTTACATGGTTTGTATAGTTGCTTTTTCTTTTTTCTTGTACTAAGAATGAAAAAAAACTGGTCACTTCTGATACAAATACCATAAAATAAAAGTAGTTGTTAACATCTTATTGATTACTCGTATGTAAAATGAGAAAATATTCCATTTAAAAAAATTATTTTCAGCTATTTATAATTTAAATTATCTAGCACGATAAATCTCATAAAGTAAAATCTAAAAACTTAGTTTTACTTTTTGACCTTAAACTAGGTCAAAAGTTTTTTGTTTCTATTACATACAAATGAAAGAATACTCATGTACAAAAGTAAAGGGCAAAAAAATTAGGCCAGATGAAAAATTTAGCTAATAAAAAAGTTTAACTGTTGCATATATGATCCATGATCCATTAATATTCTCTCATTCTGCATTTACACATAGCTTACTTTGATTATCAGACTCTAAGAGCTAACAGCTGTAAGAACTACTTGCTGGCCAGGCACCTATCTCTAGATGCGTCAGAATCCCTGTAAGCATCTTGAATCACACTTAGTGGTGGTCATCTACTAATATATCACTCAAAATGAAACAAAACAAAACAAAAAAAGGTCTTTACACAACTGTAACCTATCTTAAATTTGAATTTTAAAATTATTATACAAACCTAATTGGACATGGTGTCTGCCGCACAAGAAAAAAAAATCACTTTTTTCTTAAAATAGGCCAGAATAATAAAAGTTCCAACAGGGACTTGGGCCATGCTTTGTTTCCTACACTGCCTCTGCCTTTGATGCTGGAAGGGCCTTGCAGGCAAACATTCCTACCACTGAAGAGTGAGGGACACGGAATAGCTATTGTTTTACTGCTTCCATGCTCTCTAGGTGTAGAAAGCCCATGCCTCTGGAAGGAACTGGGAAATACAATTCTGATATGGATTGGATATGTTCCCCCTCCAAATCTAATATTAAAATGTGACCCTTAAGATTGGAGATAGGGCTCAGTGGAAGGTGTTTGGGTAACGGCAGTGGATTCCTTACTAATGGCTTGGTGTCATCCCCATGGTAACAAGCAAATTCTCATTCTGGTAGTTTAAAAGAGTGTGGCACCTTCCCCTTTCCCCTCTCTACTCCCTCTCTCACAGTGTGGAACCACCTGCTTCCCCTTTGCCTTCCATCATGATTGTAATCTTGCTGAGGCTCTCACCAGAAGCAGATGTTGAAGCCATGTTTGTACAGCCTGAAGATCTATGAGCCAATTAAACCTCTTTTTGTTATAAATTACCCAGCCTTAGGTATCTCTTTATAGTTATGCAAAAATGAACACAAATTCTAACCAGAAATAACTGACTCGAGACAGGCAAAGTCTACTCAAACTACAAAAAGAAAGGTTACACACTCCCATATTTTACTGTGCTGCATTACTTCCCATATTATTATAGGTCCTCACTTGTATTCTTGCTGCTTAAATCAACTGGAAAACTTGGCTGTGTATGGCTTTTTAGCAAACAAATGAGGATTTATCATAACACTAAGGAAAATAAGCAGGAGTAGGGCATGTTTAAATTTACATTACATCAAATGAAAAGGTTAATAACTTAAACGTTTTGAGTAGCATAAACTTGAATGTGATAAACGCATGTGGTCAGAGCACTGTGTAACAGGAGGCCAAAATCACAGGTTCAATCACCGATGATGAACAACTATTTTTTTTTGCTTGTTTAAATGAAAACCAAGCTGAAGACTAAGTTCTATCATTCATCTTTAAAATGTACTCTTTGGACTAAGAGAAAACGGACAAAGAATTATAAATAAAGATAAACCTATGACTCCTCCATCACATGACAAATTAATTGTGCTGATAAAAAGATGGCAAAATGTATAAACAAGAAGTTTACATGATTTCACTAACACAGTAACAACTAAAGGAAAGTATATCACATGTTAAAATAAGACAAGTAAACGTGAAAAGTTGAAACATTTAAATGTGAGTTTTTCTAAATTCTTTCTAAAATACATCTGATCAAACAAGGGTTTTCACTCTTTTTCTTGGTGGGAAAAAACAATGCTGTCTCACCATCTGTTTGAGAGCTCTTCAGGAATATAGTGCTTGCCTCTGGTTGGGCAGAAGGGTTGGACTCCAAAGATGTACCTATAGAGGGAGAAAAGAAAGATGTGATCATTTATAAAAATTTATCAACTCCTTTATTCGACTGCTGCATTTAGGCTATCTCGCTACCTCCACTTTTATTCTTATTCATTGAAATGAATGTATAGACATAAGATGGAGCAAGGCAAGATGGTGCATGCCTGTAGTCCCAGCTACTCACGAGGCTGAGATGGGAAAATCCCTTGAGCTCAGGTCAGGAATTTGAGGCCAGCATGAGTCACATAGTGAGACCCTCCTTTATTAAAAAAAAAAAATGAAGAGGTAAATGTTGGTTTGAGTTGTGTAAAATCAACTTTGCATAAAATAAATCAACATGGCAGTACATTTTAAAAGACTGGTCTATTTTATAGGCAACAAACAAGATGTATTCTGGAGTTTTTAAAATTTTTAAAAAGTAAATTCAGCATATCTGTCACTTCCATGCCATTGTGAGGGCATGGAACCTTAGTTCTGTTGGGTAGCTGTCTTCCATAGTCATGTGAGATCTCTAAATCTTCATTTCTTCATTAACAGTACATAGGGAGAGCATACACAGGCCTTATGTGTATTGGAAAGGGCCAAATGAGACATACATAAACTGTGTTGAAATCCTAAAGAATGATAATAAAGAGCATTTGTTGGGCTCTCATCCAACACTATCCATCTACTAACTGGTGTGGAAAATCACTCAGAGGCTTTCCTTACACCACCAAGTGGAGTATAAGTTCACACAAGTACTTACATGCTTTGTGTATAAAGGTATAATCAATTAATTTCCATAATATATTTGTTTATTCTAAAGCGATCCTTAAATACCTTGAAAAGTGAGTATAGTACTTCCAAGTTACAAAGTCACACTCGTCATGAGTCTTAATTACCCTACCTCTTAAAAAATTAATTAAGAACCCAACCAAAGTTTAAATAGAAGAGCTATAATACATTTCCTCTACAGTAATAATATCTCTGGAATTTAAATGAAACCAATGAACCAACTCAATTTAATATCTTTACAATACAATGTTTTCTATTTCTGAAATTTATTTTTTATTCAAGAACCATATTGTTACCCAGAATTATTTTTATTTAGATTCATCTCTTTGCAAAGTTTTAGAGGCATACCAACTAATTGTTTTCTCTTTTCTACCCCCTCCCATCCCCCTGCCTCTCCAAATTAGAGACTGAAAAACTCCAAATTTTTTATCTTTGAACAAGATGCTATTGTCAAGAGGGGGGAAGGACAAAGGAGGAGCCGTGGCAACAAACACTCTTACACAGGCAATGTCTGACATTTTAACCTTCAATCTTTATATTACACATTCAAAGTCTAAATTTATGTTTCATGTCTTTCGAGACTTGTGACCCCGAACCACCCCCACCTCTCTTTTAGAACAAGAAGGTAAATAAAGTCTGTTAAGGCACCAGAATAAATCTGGAGACACATTTTGTGTTAAAGTAAGAATTTTAAAGTAATCAGAGCCTCATGGGTAAACTCCTTTGGGGGAACCCCCGCCCCCAACAACACACCCAATTTTCTGCACCTCTGGCCATGACATTTCACACCTTTCCCAATTATTTTAAGCACCCCCCATTTTCTGTCCTTCTGTGTTCAAATTACAGTTAGATGAAACTAAGCAGCTTCTATCAAGGTGACTTAAAGCAGCCCATTAAGAATACCATATAGTCTTTCCATGGCAACCTCCACTCTGATTTTAAATAAGAAATCCTCAAATATTTCAGTATGAATTGTCCTGAGATTTAGCTACTTTAACAAAGGAAACAAGAAATTACCTAGTTCCTTCACTTAGGTACTATCTGGATAGGTACAAAGAAAGAATGAGATTGGTACAGGAAAGTTGGGATATTTGAGTTTTTATTGAGAGAAGGGAGATAATATTCCAAAGAAGCCTCCACAAAGTCCCATAGGATAATAAATAGAGCTACAGACAAGAAAAGCCATAAATAAATGGTCCCATGCCAGCCTGGGAGAATGATAGAGGGAGAAAGAACTGGGCATTTGGGAGGGGAAGTGAAAGGAAATTGTCTTGACTCTGTGGAGAAAGACTAAGGGGTGGGAATGCAAGGCAGAGCCAGCCTTTGTTCCTGGCCAGCCCTGGGAAAGCTAGCTACAGACAGAAAGGAGCTCAAAGAGGGGGATGCCTCCCGGGGGACCTTGGGGACAGCAGCAGCCAGAGGTGTGCCAAGGGCACATGTCACCTCCTTACTTTCAGGCATCTCCCAGTCACAGATGTGATGCACATGGAGGCCCTGAGATGACAAACTTCTAAAGTCCCCTCACCAGGCTTTACAATGAGAGCCACCAGTGCTCCTGCCATCATGTACCCAGCTGCTGCCTCATAGATCTCAGACTCACAGGGACACACCAACCCCTTGTGCTGGTCCAACTCGGGGCTGGTCCTGGGGCACACAAAACAGGTCAGTATGTTCCCCATGGGGCACCTCTACTCCTGTCACCACCTGTGCCTCTGCTCACAGCTTTGGCCACAAACTCTCACCGCCCTAGGTCGAGGCTATGCTGCACCTGCAGATACAGTCTTGTCTGCTGCTTGCCTGCCCACATCACAGCCCAGCCCCAGCCGGGGATCAGGCCAAGGCCCGCACCCTGCTACCTCCCCTAAGTTGATTTGTCTGGGAGGGTAAAGAGCAGCTGGCTTATTTAATAGGCTGTGAACCCAACAAGCGCTGAAAGACACAGGACATTTTTAGGGCTTTTCCTTAGTTCAGCTAAAGATGGGGTCCTTGTCACATGGTCATGAAATATTAGGCTCACAGACACTTTGAAGGGTGAGAAAAATGGAATTTATTAAGCAAAAAGGATAAAGGGGAACCAGGACCCCTCAGCAGTTTGAGAGTCCTGCTAGCATAGGCTTCCCGCTTCACAGATTGAATTCCATGTTCCACCCAGGAAGGGAAGGGGCCAGGCTCCCCGCACCATGAACTTCCCAAGGCCCCACACCAGTGCACACTCCTCTCAGTGTGCAGGCCAGTGGGAGATTCTCTGATGGCCCCTTTTTACTCAGCTGCCTCATTCCTCCTTCTAAAGAAGTACATCTAACTACCATTAGAATAAGGATACTGCTTCCTGCTATCAGGGGCAGTTTGGGGAAAACAGTACTCAGAGTCTCCTCAGAGGCCCATCTAAGGGTCCCTAGCAGAAGGGGCCAGTGTCCGAGGCTCCAGCTACATGACCATTCAATGTTTGGTGGCTGAAGGTGAGAAGAGACACAGCGGAGAAGACACACAGTGGAGATGATGAAACCCCATCTCCACTAAAAATACAAAAAATTAGCCAGGCATGGTGGTGTGCACCTGTAGTCCCAGCTACTCAGGAGGCTGAGGCAGGAGAATCACTTGAATCTGGGAGGCGGAGGTTGCAGTGAGCCAAGATTGCACCACTGCACTGCAGCCTGGGCAACAGAATGAGACTCTGTCTCGAAAAAAAGAAAAAAAAAAGCCAGATGTGGTAACATACACCTGTGGTCCTAGCTACTTGGGAGGTTGAGGTGGGAGGATCATTTGAGCTAGGGAGGTCAAGGCTACAGTGAGCTGTGATCACGCCACTGCACTCTAGCCTGGATGACAGAGTGAGACCCTGTCTCAAAAACAAAACAAAACACACACACACACAACTTATATAAAAGATGGAAAGAAATAACTAATAACCAAAAGAGAATATAAGCAAAATATCAAGATCTTTTTCAGCAGTGCAAAGTTTCAAGCAGAGATTGGGCTGTAGTTTTTAGTTGTATGTTTTCCTAAGCCAGAAGGAGGGACGGGGGAGGATTTAAGGCTTATCTGAAGGAGTATATGTCAGGATCTTTAAATAAACGATATCTTCTCTCATTTTGATTAGACTGAAAGAAGTCAGTTAACTTATCCACATACAAACAGGGACCAGGAATCCAGTCCCTGACTCTTATGACTCTAGCACGACCTCATGTTTTCACCTAAAGGAAGAACAACTTTGAGCCGCAGTACCTTTATCTTTAGTATGCATATACTTAGCAGCCACAGTACCTTTATCTTTAGTATGCATATACTTAGCAGATACTTGGGACTTTCAGAAACCAGTCAAAGCCCTTCCCAGCAAATGCTTTTGAAAAAGTGGGGCATGAACAACCTGAGTAATTTTATTTCTGATCACAACAATGTGAGGCCAGGCACATGGGTTCACACCTGTAATCACAGCACTTTGGGAGGGAGGGGGGAGGATCATTTGAGGCCAGGAATTCAAGACCATCCTGGACACATAATGAGACCCTGTCTCTAAAAATTAGCCAGATGTGGTGACACATGCCAGTAGTCCCAACTACTCAGGAGGCTGAGATGGGTAGATCACTTATGCCCAGGAGTTCAAGGTTACAGTGAGGTATTACGGCACTACTGCACTACAGCCTGGGTGACAGAGTGAGATCCCAGCTCTAAGAATAATAAAAAGAAAAATAAATGCTATGTGACTCTGATAAAATAAGAATTTCTGACTTATAACTGGCTTTTGAAGTAGTTTAAGAAGAGCTTCCCATAAGTTCTGAGAGCTCTGGTATGGCAGGGAAGGTGTAGGTCTGTGGATGTCTTCTGCCCATTCTGATTACTCCAGGTTACAGAAACCCTCAAGGTCCAGACATTGGGAAATGTGTAAACTGTAGCAAGGGCTAGAATTTGTAGAGGACCAGAGTCCATGCTTGCCAGCATGAAAGGGTTCAAGTTCAATTTAAAAAAAAAAAAACAACTTGAACCCAGCAGGTGGAGGTTGAAGTGAGTCGAGATCGTGCCACTGTACCCCAGCCTGGTGACAGAGCAAGACTGACTCTGACTCTCTTTCTCTTCTCTCCCCCTCCCCCACTCTCTCTCTCCTTCTCTGCCTCTCTCTCCCTCTCTCTACTCCCCACCCCTCTCTCTCTCTCCCTCTCGCTCCCTATATATATATATCTCACCATGCAGGCTTAACACCCTTACCTATGGAGTCAGCCCAGTCAACATCATTTAGATCCCTGCTTTACAGTTACAGCACATTGGTGTATAAATAGTTATTTTAGAATGTAGTAAGATTGGAAAATAATAAACTAGAGTTTGTGCTTACTTTTATGGATGACATAGGACCACTTTCTGGAGGTGTAGGATGTTTTCTAGCCTTATGCTCGATACACATTTCACAGCACTGGTAACCACCCCGTGGGTTCTTCTTGCCTGCTACCCAGATAGAGCCAATTTATTGAGACACAGGAATTGCCATAGAGAAAGAGTTTAATACACATAGAGTTGGCTAAACAGGAGACCAGAGTTTTGCTAATACTCAAATCAGCTTCTCTGAAATTCAGAGACTAGGGTTGTTGAAAGATATTTAGGCAGGCAGGAGCCTAGGCAATGGAGAATGATGATTGGTTTGGGTCAGGGATGAAATCACAGGGAGTTGAAGCTGTCCTCTTGGGCTGAGTCAGTTCCTGGGTGGTGGCCACAAGACCTGATCAGCCAGTTAACTGATCTGGGTGGGGCCAGCTGGTCCATCAGAATGCAGAGTCTGAAAAATACTCAAACATCAATTTTAGGTTTTATAGTAGTAATATTATCTATGGGAGAAATTGGAGACGTTAGGAATCTTTTGGCCTCTGGCTGCCTGACTCCTGAGACATAATTCTTAATCTTGTGGATGATTTGTTAGTTTTACAAAGGCGGTGTGGTCCTCAATCAAAGAAGAGGTTTGTTTTAGGGAGGGGCTATTATCATGTTTACTTCAAAGTTAAACAATAAACTAAATTTCTTCTAAACTTAGTTCAACCTACACCCAGGAAAGAACAGGGCAGCTTGGAGATTGGAAGCAAGATAGAGTCAGTTAGGTCATATTTCTTTTGCTGTCACAGTTTTTGCAAAGGTGATTTCACGCAAAGTATGCACTTTACAAACTTACTTTGTTTTTAGCAAGAAGTAATTGAAATCACTTTTGCTTAGCGTGCAAATTCGTTTTTTAATGGAAATTCTGTACTGCCTTTGATCATTCTAATGAAATCATCTTGCTTTTTACTCACGTGAGTTGACATTATCTGGATTTATTCCTTATTTTGGATTTGGACTGAAAGCTCTTTTTACATTTTAACCTGCTGTCATTTGCCTGAAAGTAGTGGTGAAGGGTGCCTCTTTAAATGCATTTACAACAAATTGCTTTTTTGTGAAGGGGAGGGTAAAACTGAAATTGGTTGTGTTTCCTTCTCTCTGTGTCAAAATTGTATTTTCCATTTTATGCATCTGGTAAAGATAAAGATTTTGATGCTTAACTGCAAAGATCTGACTCTACAGGGATGTACTTACTCTCTCTTTTTTGAAAATATAATGATTTCACAGTCTCCTGTCTTGAACACACTACATTTGGTAACTGTATATCTTGTTTTATCAAGTCATGTATGACTTTTCTGCTTCTTCCTTGCCTGCCATAATCATCTTCTGACCATCTGGAAAACCTCTGATCCTCTATGCAGAGTCCATTTAAACATTTTAGTACTAGAAGAGTGAAAATCTTGTAAAAATATAAAATTTTTTTCTATTGTTACACTGGGAGCAAAGGTAAAATGTTTAAATGTGCTTTCCTGCTGCGTAAGAGTTTTAGAGATTGCAGGCTTGCATGCAGAATTCTGAATGGGGACAGCAGTTCCAATGCACCTAGGGAACTGGAGAAAGGCTGCAGGCATTGTCAGCAAAAGGAACTGGAGTGATTTGTTGTATTCCGTTTATTTTCAGAATAACTCCTAATAAATATTAGAGAGGCATATTCACTCTTCAAGGCAGTGAAACAACCTGCATGTATTTTGGGAGCAATTCTTGGAAGGGATTTCTGTTTTAAAATCAAGACATTAGCCTTTGGGATGTCAGATTCCTATTGATAAATTGAGGAAAGTGAATATCAGGTGTCAACTTTGGAAACTACAAAAAAAAAACAATTACTTAAAGGGAGGATAATGAAAATAACTGAGGATATAAATCACCCAGCCTCAGTTTTATGAGCCACACATGTGACTTTTATATTTCCATTAATCACAAAGCTCATAATTTTATGATACAAATATCAGCAACAGCCACCTGGAGTTTTTTTTTCCCCCTTCTCTCTATTTTCAGTTTCTTCCTTTATCTGTTTTGTTTTCTTTTTATTAAAGAATAAAGCATTTATTTTTTAGCGAAGATTTATGTTAAATAATTATAACAATAATAATTTACTGTAGTGTTAGTACATATTTTTGTTAATTCATCAAATATTTATTGACTAAATGCCAGGCATGGTTAGACATTGTCTAGTGGAAGAGAGAGACTGTCTGTCCTTGTGGAGCTTAGAGTCTAATGGGGAAGACAGATAATAAACAGTAATATAGATAGGTAGATAAATAGATACATACATACACACATACATGCATGTATATATATACACATATGTATTAGTCCACTGCTATAAAGAACTACCTGAGACTGGGTAGTTTATAAAGAAAAGAAGTTTAATTGACTCACAGTTCTGCATGGCTGGGGAGGCCTCAGGAAACTTACACTTGTGGTGAAAGGCTGAGGGGAAGCAAGGCATGTCTTACGTGGCAGCAGGAGAGAGAGAGTGAAGTAGGAAGTGGATATAAATAACAGTTTTAAACTATCAGATCTTGTGAGAACTCACTCACTATCATGGGAACAGCAAGGGGAAATCCACCCCCACGATCCAGTCACCTCCCACCAGGCCTCTGACAAGTGGCGATTACAATTCGAGATGAGATTTGGGTGGGGACACAGAACCAAACCATATCACATAGATATATAGCTGATAAATAGACAGATGCTAGAAAGTGATAAAAGCTCTGAAAAGAAGAAAGTGTAGCACAAGCACAAAGAAATCAATAGGAAGAGAGAGCAACTGCGGACATCTTTAAATCGGGTATTCAGACAGCCATGACAGAGTCTGTGGATTTTGGACAAAGACTTGAAAAAGGTAGATATCTGGGGAAGAGGATTCCAGGTGGAAGAAGGGTGGTGACATGGCTGGCATATTTGACAAGTAACAGGAGGACTGTGCGGCCAAGGCAGAGTGAACAAACGTACATTAGATGAGATCATTTATACCAAGAATGTGTGGTATGCCTAGTGTCTGGTGCGGAATCAATGCTCCAAAGCTGTGAAGCCCCGGCTCTGCCTTCAGCCAGCTTTGACGCCAACCCCACCCATCACACAGGCAGACACTTCCCAAGGTAACCAAGGGCTGGTGGCTTCTAGGTGGTCTGTGGAATTTTTGTACTGTTGACATTTGTTGTGTTAATGCCTGTGGCTTTCATAATGCTACTTTACATTGTACCATCTCATTGGTGTTTTGATGAGCAGGGTGTCTTTTTGCCTGTTAACTATGGTGAGGTTTTCAGTGAAAAAAGAGAATCCCTACACAACTGTGTAGGGGTGAAGAGAGAACTTTCCCTTCACCCTCTAAAGGATTGTTTAAAAATCAAGTCACAAAAGGTTGATTAATTGAAGAAAAGGCGTAAACATTTATAAACATGCACACAAGGGAGAACCACAGAGTGATTACCCCAACCACCAGGGGAGTGTAGAAGCTTATATATCATCTTGATGTACAGAAAAAATGGGGGTTCAGAAACAGGTAATGATGGCAGAACAGGTTATGGGAGGGAGAGAAGAGGAGGCCTGGCTAGCAAAGGTAGCAGCCCTCAAAAACAATAGATGGGGCTGGGCGCAGTAGCTCACACCTGTAATCCCAGCACTTTGGGAGGCCAAGGCGAGTGGATCACCTGAGGACAGGAATTTGGGACCAGCCTGGCCAACGTGGTGAAACACCGTCTCTACTAAAATATACAAAAATTAACTGGGCATGGTTGCAGTTGCCTGTAATCCCAGCTACTAGGAGGCTGAGGCAGAAGAACCACATGAACCTGGGAGGTGGAAGTTGCAGTGAGCCGAGATCATGCCATTGTACTCCAGCCTGGGTGACAAGAGTGAAACTCCATCAAAAAAAAAAAAAAAAAAGAGAGAGAGAGAGAAAGAAAGAATAGATGGTAAATGCTTTTTTTCTTCTTAAACCTTTAAAGGTGTCAAACTCTCCATTATTTTTCTTTTAGAGTGGGGCAAGGGGAGGCCTGGCTGCATCAATTTAGATTCTCTGTAGGTGTCAAAGTCCCCCACAAAAGACAGCTTTGCAGAGTTACTTCTGTTTGCTGGGTCTCTGAGCAAGCAGTCTCAAACTATGTCAAAGAAATACATTTTGGGGTAGAATATTTTTATTTCTTTCGGTTGATAGTAGAATGTTTTGTCCTACTGCAAATAGTTAGCAGATCTCTGATGAGAGGGAATTTTAAGAATTTGGGAATCAGTTTCACAACCTCTGATGAGAGGGAATTTTTCCTGCATCCTTTTCTGTCTTTGAAGTAGTGGTTTTCAAGTTAGCTGCATGTTAGAATCACTTGGAGAGCTTTAAAGAAAATGTTGCTACCCAGGCCCCACCTCAAATCAATTAAATCCCAACCTCTGGGAGTGGGACCTGCTTTTAGATGTTAAGCTCCCCAGGTGATTCTAATGGATGCTAGAGACGAGAACTCCCACTGGTCACCGAGGTTGATGCTAAGTATATTTATTTTTTTCTTATGATACGTTGGCTTCTGCCTCTTCATATTATCATGTCTCAAAGGCTCAGAAGACCTTGGAACTTTCTGCAACACTTCTCAATCTTCTCATTCCAGCTCTATTGGTGACTGGTTCATAAACTCCAGGTCCAGAAGCAGAGCTGGCTCATGACCAAGCTTTGCTGTGTGCAGCAGCCTTCTCAGATGCTTGCTCTGGGCAACCACTCTTCAGATGCAGCCCCGCAGGGCTCTGAAAGCAGAGTGTGTCCTTCAGCACCCCCTTTCCTGAAGTTGTAGCCAGCTCTGCCGGGCTGCCTCCACCACTTTCACGGCATCAGCTAACCATAGTGCTTCCATTTTCATCAGGAGGCTTATGCATAAGCTTATATTTAAAATGTGGTCAGAAAAATGTCTACAAGTAGATATTTGAGCTATACGTCATGTTGCACTGTTCAACATGAACCTCTAATTGACCCACTTCTAAAAAATCACCTGCAATATAATACCGTCAATAAATGGATGCTATTTTTTTGTATTTATATTTTAAACCTATTCATACGTCTCAGTGTATGTGTGTTGTAAATCAAAGATGACAGAGACAAGTCACAAGTATTTTAAGAGGTTTATTTGCCAAGGTTAAGGACATGCCTAGGACAAAAGAACACAAAATCATAGGAAAAATCTGTGGTCTGTGCTTTTTTCCAAAGAGAATCTGAGGACCTCAATATTTAAAGGGAAAAAAGCAGGTATTGGGGGAAAGAGGAAGGAGGAAAATCTTTTTAAAGGGTGGTAGATAAAAGTGGCAAGAGGTTGCATCTTTTTAGTCTTGGATCAGCATTCTCTGAATCTACATTTTACATGTGACAGGGGGTAGAGAATAGTCACTTACGCATTCAACTTGTCCTCAGTGAATCTGCATTATTACATAACCTTAAATAAACAGAGGGTAGAGGAGGCAGTAAGATAGGCATTTGTCTCAGGTGAGTGGAGAGATGACTTTTCAGTTCTGTCCTTTGTCCCATACCTGAGAAGATCAGCAATGAATTTACACGGTCAGAGTGAAATTCAACAGAACTGCTTTAGGGTAAAGATTGTGGGGCCAACCAGGAATTCCCTTGTGGGAAAATTGTGAGGGAGGTATATACCCTTTCATCTCTGTAACTGTCTTATTTAGGAACAAAACTGGGGGGCAGGTTTGCATGACCCAGTTCCCAGCTTAACTTTCCCCTTTGCCTTAGAGAGTTTGGGGTCCCAAGATTTATTTTCCTTTCATAGTATATACACACACAATCATTTGTATGCACACATAAGCACTTATGGATGTGTATTTGTAAGTATCAGTATTTAACTATAGTGGCTATATATAATCTTTCCAAATAATCAGTCTGGAGGTCAGCTGAACTTTCTTAGACTCTTTTTATCATGCAGTTGTGTGTTTTTTCAATGGAGGTGAGAGATGTTAAAATGATACTGTGTTGATAATGTTATAATTGAAGCTCTGGGATTCTCTCCCTGGCAAAATAAAAAGTGGGTGATTCAGTATTGTCTTCAGGTTATTTTTCTTTAATTTTGCTGGTCCATGATATTTAAAAACAACCACAAACAACCCTGGAACTGTAAGTTAGGCTGGAAGCCCCCATGCTTGAGGAGGGCTTCTCTGGAGCCCCTCCTGCCCCAATTCTGCTCATAGTCCAAGTCCCTCAGTGACATCAGGGGAGACTGAAATCAGCAAGACAGAGTCACTTGCCTCCACCCCTTTCCCCAGGACATCCCAACACTAGGTGTAATTTCATGGTTTAGCCTCTCCTACCTCTGTGCTAAAATAAAGTATTACTTTTCTCTATCCCTTTCTTCCCTTTTCTCTTCTTGTTCCCCCTTTTTGAAGTAAAGGCAACATTCCCACAATTTTAAAAAGTTATAGCCTAGATGAGGTTGCTCATGCCTGTAATCCCAGCACTTTGGGAAGTCAAGGCAGGAGGATCACTTGAGCCTAGGAGTTAAGGACGGCCTGGGCAACATAGTGAAAGACCACATATTTAAAAAAAAATTAAAAAATCAAAAGCCCAAAAAGTTATAAAATCCTTTTTCTTGACCAGCACACTTGACATTTCCCTTTGGCAGGCATTCCACATCCCACTTTGAGATTCACAAGGTACAAGATGGTTCCAGGAACCAAGACGCAACCTAAGAAACCAGTTGGCCTAACAAAGTGTCAGGGCTTGCTCGTCACAGAGCTCTCCTTCTTTCTCCCGTTGGCACACTTGTTTGGCAGCTGGCCCAAGAGTGTCCAGGTTCTGGTAGTGCCCACTGGCAGCATTTGGCAGGTGTGACAGCAGAAGAGTCAGAAAAATAGCAAATCTGGCCTCCCCTCCTGCAGGAGGAACACGGTGGGACTCAGGGTGCTGGCTTTGTAGAAGAACATGCCCTCTGCAGGCCATCCCACCTCTGGTCCTCTTTTTATCCTGGGCAAAGAAGTGTTTTAATCCCAGCCTGTCTGAGCACTGCCCTTTCTTCTACACTCACACTCTCCTTCACAGCCCCAGGGCACGTCATTTTGTCCTACACAATGCCATTATTACTCCCTTTTTGTTTTTCTTCTTAGGCGAGCCACTTTTAAAAAATATTCCAATGTTCCTATTCCAAACCTCTTCTCCCCTTTCAAGCTCAGATAAAGGCATAGATATAACCAAAGCTTTTTTATGCCTCCTTGACTAGGTACCCAGTACTAAGTTCCCAGAACTGCAGTCCCATGAATAGTACAAATAGACAAAACCTAAGGTGGGAGGAGCAAAAAGTCGCCGCGACGGGGGCAACAAGCCGTGGCAGCGGGGGCAAACAGCCATGGCGGCAAAAACCCGCGGGGGCAAAAAGCCGTGGCGGGGGTGACAAAAAGCCGTGGTGGCGGGGGCAGAAAGCAGCGGTGGCGGGGGCAAAAAGCCACAAAAACCCGCTGCGGCCGGGACAAAATAGTGGAAATGGGGTAGAAGGCCAGCACAGCTTGGCATTCCTGGAGTGTGATGTGGAAGCAAAAGTGCAGCGGAAGACAAAGATGTAAGTAGGCTTCACTCAGTGTAGCTAAGAACCCAGATGTTATCTTGATGTTAGTCTATCAGCTAATTTTTTGTATTTTAGTAGAGAAGGGGTTTTACCACGTTGGCCAGGATGGTCTCGATCTCCTGACCTCATGATCCACGCACGTCAGCCTCCAAAAGTGATGGGATTAGAGACATGAGCCACAAAGTGCTCAAAAAATCTATTAATTAAAAAATGTGTATGTAGCCGTCTTTAATCTACCATGTCCATTAGCAGATAAATACTATAAGCAAAATAACAACAATGAAAGAAACATAGACTTAGATACTGTGATTTATTTAATAAAAATTTGAAAATAGACCAAATTACTGTATGATAAAAAAATCTGTTACTATTGAGGATGAGGGTTAGTGTTTGGAAAGGGGCAGGAGAAGTATCACTATTTTTAATAATGTTCTATTTTCATACATGGTTATAAGCAAATACATGTGTTTCATTAATCAAGCTATCCATATTTAATCATTGTACTTTTCTGCATGTATGATATATGTCAATAAAATATATACAGCAAAAATAGACAAAACCAAGAAGACATACACAAATGTTAAACCTAGAGAGAAATTTGAATATAAGTAAGTCTCTGAGTGACTGGTGGAACAAACCAAAAAATAATCAGGAAGGAGAGGTTTGGAAAAGCACGATTAGCAAAATTGACATATCTGTCTTTTAATATAGGCAGAAACATAGTTAGATTAAAAAAAGGACTTGTCTCAGAGTATGATTTCTGAAAATAGTGGAATCAAGTTTGAATCTAGTAAGTACATATAAATAAATGTCTTAAAACTTCTCTTATGTTAGCTAATTAAGAAATATTATTGTAATAGATATTAGAAAATATTTTAATAAATTGAGTGGATTTCACACGCTAAGGAAATGATCTTACTTGCATTTGATAGTTCAATTACATACATATATACCTATAGGTAGTTTAAAATATTTCTAATAACCTTATATACTTTTAAAAAGCATTGATACCTGTTTGCACTATCTGGTCTATAGAGTACACACACAAAACATGATTATAGCTCTTCTGCTATAAACTTCAAATGTCTAATTAATACAAAAATCTAGAATGAGAGGAGTTCTTTGCAATTTTTTTTTTACCAAATGGAATATAGGAAAGATAGCAGCAAATATACCTGACACACTTATCTGTGAGTATGGTGATAGCCTTTTTATTTTATTTTATTTTATTTGAGAGAGGGTCTCACTTTGTCACCCAAGATGGAGTGCAGTCATGTGATCAGAGCTCACTGAAGCCTTCACATACTGTGCTCAAGCGATTCTCCCACCTCAGCCTCCTGAGTAGCAGAGACTGCAGTGCATGACACCATACTAGCTAATTTTTGTAAAGATGGAGTTTCACCATGTTGCCCTGGCTGATCTCCAACTCCTGGACTCAAGAGATCTGGCCAAGTTGGCCTCTCAAAGTGCTGGGATTATACTTTTGAGGCACCTTGATCAGCCCAGCCTTAAAAAAGGCTGACTAGAGATCTTTATCTATGTATATCTATATCTATCTATAAAATAAACATATGTGTTTATTATATAAAAATATATATTATTAATATTATATAAAAATTTTTTTCAAGGTAGAAATATATAAAGAGGGTGCATGTAGAGCCTCGGTCATTGTGTAGTGAAGCTCAAGGCCTCTGAAGAAATGCCCCTTGCCTCTTTTGTCTGTGGTAGAATCCGAGAAGGGAAAGCAGCAGATGCACTGGTTCCCAGGTTCTTGGCATCCTACGGAGAGAAACACGTTTGAGCTAGGGTAGCTTTAAACACCCTTGTTCTTACTCTCCTATTTTATGTAGTGAGCAGAGACTAGCTTCATGAGAACAGACTGTGACAGTCAAGGCTGTCTGTTATTTTGTGTAGCATTAATTGAGAAATTCTAGCACCTGAAGACCTCTGGGCCATTTGAGGGTAGGTGCAGGGGAGGAAAGGGAAGTTTTCCTCCCTCCTGCTGTGGAGAGAACCCATGGGAAGCACAGACCTTGTCCTAACTGAAGGCAGACCCCTTGCTAACCAGCTTCTCATCAACCAACCCTGGATGAGCTTCCATGTCTATTTATTAAATAATCCTTATTGCTTTTCTTCATATGGGCAAAGTATGGTTTACAGGGACTATTGTTCCTTTGAACACCCATCATGCAAACCCCTTCCTGTTGTGGGAAAACAGGCTTCCATATGTGTCTTACTGGGAAACACATAGGCAATTTCTATGTTTTTACTGCGTCTATTTCAGGGATATGGGAACTGAACAGTGCCCATCAAAGGCTCACCTGCTGTTGGAAATTGATCTGAGAGCGCAGAAGGACAGAATTCTTTCTTTGTTCCTGGGCAGCGGTGGTTGAGGGATCATTTTGTGGCAGCTACAGTGACAATGATGGAGGCAGAATGGAGGGCTCAGTAGCAAGACAAGGAGAGAATTGGCCTCACAATGGCAGCATTGCAGGGGTGCGCTCTACAGAGTATTTGCTCACATGGTTTTGGGCATTGTCTCTAACTACATTGCTTCCCCAATAGGTTGACCCATTCTAAATAACTCCTTTTCTCTTTAAAAAAGCAAACTTCATTTGTATGACTTGCAATTGTAAATGACACCAATTGGCCAGTTATCATTCAAATTCTCTGTTACTTAATCCTGTCTTTTCCTGATGTAAGCAACTTTCCCATAAAAAATTGGACACTTTGTTGCTTACTCATTGTCTTTACACATTTTAAAATGTTGCTTTATGCCCCCAATCCCTAACTACACTTTCAATGTTTTGCAAGTGGAGTCCATGTGTTCTTGATTTACATGAAGCTCAAAATAATGGTTATAGTAACTAGTACTTCATAATTAAGCAAAAAGCTCGTATTGAAAAATGACAAAACTATACATAGAGATGACAACATGGAGAGATATTTCCTGAGATCACAAAGTTATGGTATGACAGAACTAGAAAGTTGAGAAGAGACTCTGTGTTCCCAATCATTATTTCTACCACCAGCTTTCTATTTTGATGTTAATAATGTTCTTACGTGGGCAACCCTACATATTTGCCAATGTTTAGTTCATTGACAAAGAAATAGAAAGAGCTTCAAGAACACCCTAATTTTTAAAAAATAAAATATCTATAATTGGCCATATAAAAAATTGGTACTTGACATATACTGAGATCGTTTTATTTTGTGCGAGACAAATGAAGTCATAGAACAGAATGTGCTTTAAGTTTTATGAATAGTGCTTGCGTGTGTGTGTGTCTATAGATGCATATTAGGCTGTTGAAAAGTTTTATTATTCTTTCCAGGAGAGAGACTGCCAACTTTTGAACCTAATTAGAACAAGTAGATTGCTTCTTCATATTTGTATTAAGGCAAAGAGAGTCTAGTTAAAAATAATTCAACTTATCGTGGAAATGCTATAAATTGCTGTGAAGTGAGTTACTGGCTATGGCTTGTCAGAGGAAATATATTGTACAAATCTTAGGGGAGAATTAGTGCTTATGCATTAAAATAAAATCATCTTGCAGCACACCGAGAAAAAGGTTAGATTTTTAAAATAATTTCAATGTCACGAAAAGAGCAAATATGCTCAACAAAGAGCCTAGCAACCCTCAATTACCAATTCCCCTTTTATATAGTTTGGTATCTGAATTAGAATCCCAGAATCTACAAATTCCTCTGGGTGTGGGTGCTGCATTTTGAAGATTTTATAACACTGCCATCACCAAGCTCTCTTTTGATATTCACTTTAAGGAGATAATTTACGGGAAACCAGAGAGCATAAACCAAAGTAGATATCTATCTAGATAGATAGATACATCTCCATATCATTGACAGGATACCTTCTGGCCGAGTGTGAGTACAACCTATGGGTGTGGTTGGAGAGAACATGTGTTCCACCTGAATGGCAGATCAAGATTATTCCTTCTCATCTGCTGCAAAGGCTCAGTGTGTTAAGGAGAGGAGCGAGACAGCAAGAACTGCATTCATTCAGTCATACAGACCAAAAGGAGGAATGTCACCCAGCCCTCTAAACTGACTCAGAACCCAGCTCATGTCTCAACTGCTACCTCTACTACTTAGAAAGAAGTAACTCCGCAAAAACAGGGTTCTGGGCAAATATATTTTCATTGATCTTATACAAATAGATGAAGATGGACTTGGATGTTAAGAAAAATAATACTATACAAATCAAGAGTAGACAGTCACCCCTAGACTTAAATTAAGAGTGTGTACATTAGATAATTTAATCCAATGTATCAGGTAAAAACTTGAACAAACCTTTTGGCCTCTTCCATAAAATTCAGGGAAGCATGTCCTTCACAAAACAGAATCAAAATATAAATGAAAGACTGGCTTAAGATGAAAGGAAACCTTATAAATGAAAAGAAGCCAGATGAGAGGCACTTAACTGAGAATGAAAAGAAACTGAGTGGACAAAATAATTATGAGAAGATGAATCTTCAAATCAGAAAGAGGGAAAAAAGCTCATTTGATACTATGGGAACTCAAAAGAGAGTGAACACAAATGTGAAAATTCCAAGAGTACAGAAAAGTAGCATAACTAAATTAAGAGCATGAGAAAATGTATACAATTCTGAGTAATAAGAACAGAAACCAAAAGTTAGTATTGTATGTTATATTTTAGTAGAGCAACACTGAAGACGAATGAAAACAAGAAATAATATTAATTATGAACATATGGAGAACAGAATAATATTTTTAAAATTTTTAGTTTCTGAGTTTACCTGAAATTTTAATTTTGGTTTCTTATGTAATACCAGAGTTATTAGGGAGGTATTAGCTAATAACGCTTTTTTCAGTGATATTTTAAGTATTTGTCCTAGAAAAATTTCTATTTAAAAAAATGTATATTTAAAAATACATTAAGTGTGTATATACATCAATCATATGTATCAATTTCTGTTTTTCTTGAATTGCAAATGAAATTTGTAGCTTTGTATTCCTGGAATAAAATAAACTTGAATGGATTGTAATATATTATTCATGCTGTAAATCAATATATTTGAATTCTTTAAGAATGTTACATTTATAGTTAACAGATATTGACCTATAAATTTTCTTTCCTATAATGATGCTGTGAGACAATTTAAGAAGAATTAAAATTTAAATACATGTCTTCCTCCTTTTTCCTCTGTTCTCTAACTGTAATATATTTTAATTACAGATGGAGGAACAGATAGATGTTAGATAAATAGATATATAATAGATAGATCATCCAAAATTCTTATTCTTATGGTTTTATGTAGTCAGTATTTACCTCTATTTTTCTACGTTTATCCTTCCAATTTAGTTCATTACTTCCTGCATCTTTGATGTCATATACATAAACAGGAAATAACACATGGTGGCCAGGATGTAGAGAGAGCCACAGGACTTGTGAATAAAATCTACAGCCAAGGATGTGGCCATTCGTTTTGCAGTATTGGAGGGAATGCCAAACGCTATGTTTGCTGCGGAAAAGAGTATGGTAGTTCCTCAAAACATCAAAATGGTATTGCCATATGATTCAGCAGCGCCACATCTCAGGATAGCAAAAGAATTGAAAGCAGAGTCTTGAAAAAATATTTGCACATCCATGTTTGCAGCAGCGTTATTGGCAATAGCTAAAACGTAGAAGCAATTGAAGTGTCCAACAACAGATGAATGGATAAGCACAATATGATATATGAATACAGTGGAATATTATTCAGCCTTAAACATGAGGGAAATATTCTGACATATGTTGCAACTTGGATGAAACTTGAGGATATTATGCCAAGTGAAATAAGTTAGTCAGTGAAGGACAAATACAGTATAATTCCATTTGTATAAGGAACTTAAAGTGGACAGAATCACAGAGATAGTACAATGATGGTTGCCAGAAGCTGGGGGGAGGAAGACATGGGGAAGTATTGTTTAATGGGTATAGAGTTTCAGTTTCACAAGATGAAACGAGTTATGGAGATGGATGGTAGGGATGGCTGCAGAATGTTATGACTGTATTTAGTACCACTGAACTGTGCACTTAAAATGGTTAACAGAGTACATTTTATGTTATGTTTATTTTACCACAATAAAAAATAAAATACCTTAGGAACATTTTCATGAAAGAGTCCACATAAAATTAATTTTAATGCACGTGTTTATACACAGCTTTCTATTTTTCTCTTTTCTATTTATATTCCAAATTAGAATATAATGCTAATCAAGCATAGTGGCTGTGTTTCTTGCTTCCTCTAGTCTGCAGGTAGCATACAAATGTAATAAACTACTTATTCATGTCATATCTATTTATTTTCTGCCTTATACCAAGCTTGTGGGATTCTCTTAAATACAACATTTTTATACATACACCAAGGCAATACCCATTAGCATCGCCTTCCTAAATCAGGGGAAATTGAGCCTCTGTAAGGTGGAGTAACTTCCTAAGATACAAAACTCAGCATTAAAGTCTGTATACTTCAATAACCTGCCCCCTTCTCATTTGTCTTTACTACCTTTTATGTATGTGTTAGATATTCAATAAACTCTCTTTTTTAAACTGAATTTAAGCCGTGGAGCAGTGTTTTGTTGAACAATAAATATGATTGATATAGGACACTCTTCCTCCCTTTCGTTTATGATGCAGTTCATGAAAGAGAGAAATTCTTTCATTGTGCTAGAAGCTTAAAGTAATGAAAATGCCACTTTCTACATTAAACAGAAACTGAAGGGAATCAAGGTGAATTGCATGAGACGTAGAAAACAAGCGGGAAAAAATCTAGTATAATTTGCCCTTTGTGTGCCTTTATTATTTAGCGTTTGAGTAAATGTTTCCCCCAAATATCTTCCCATCTTAATTCATGTCTACAAAGTAGACATTTATGTCTCACCTTGTCAAGAAGGGCAAACTCTAACATAAACACTTCCCAAAAATGCTTCCTGCTAAAACGTAAGCTCAGTCTGGCTAGAAATTAAGCTCACTTCATACAGATTAATTGGTAGCTAATCTTTGCATGCTGTTCTCTGAACTTGAGTGAAAGCTGTCCATCAGGCATACAGGGAATGACGGAAAAAGTGACCACAGAAGATGAATGCTATGTCACTAACCTTCAAATATGACCTTCCTTTTCTTTTAAATTCTTGATATCTTAAGACTTCATTAATTCATCTCTCTTTGCCCTTGGTTCAACATTGTGCTATACCAAAACTGATGTAAAACAATGATCTAAAGTAATAAAATTGGCATTTTTCTTTCATGTAGATGCAAGCTAACTGGCATTTTTACAATCAACATATTTCTTTTGTCAATTTTTCATTCTGTATTGGAAGTAATTCATGGGTATTTCTGAAGGGAAGAGGGTGTTTCTGTGTTCATTGTGATCCAAACTGTTTTTAGACCTAGTGGCATTTGTAAAACAATTTGTGCCAGCTGACCAAGGACCACTGTGGCAGAAAGCAGCAAACTTGTGTAAGATGTCACTGCCTCATAAGTTGGCTTTGAAAACTAGGGGCTTACTCTATAGTCCTATGAATTAAAGACATTGATAGATGTAGTATAAGATTACAATCATATTTTCCTTTGGACAGTCACATTGTAAAGCATGATGTATTGCAATTAATCTCAATTAGCTGATCACAATTAAAATTAATAATGTTTATTATTGCTGATAAACAGTCATGACTCTCCTGTTCTCAAATGTGCAAGTAATTCTTGTGATTTTAATACAAATTTGCATATTATTTCTAACTGATTTAATCTCATTGTATTTCGTTCATGGACCCAATTTATTAAAATATTGATAATGGGGTAATGATTTGTCTCCCCATTTCATTTACACTAAAAGCCACAATTCTTACAATGGTCTGCAAGCCCATCATGATCTGCCGCATGTTAACCGCCCAAATTCTTTTATATCTTCACCCTTGATCTTACCAGTGTTCCTAGCCACCTCACTGTCCTCTGGACATGCCAACATGCTGCTGTTTTATGACGAAGACTAGTTAATTTCTTGGCTTGGAAAGATAACCCTCCATATATCCATTGATCAGCTCATTCAACTTCCTCAAGTCTTTACTGAAACCTCACACTCTCAATGAGGTCTATTCAGTATTTCAAACTGCCTCCCAGTTGCAACACTCCAAAACCCCTTACACTTCTGTGTATTTTTGAAAGGATTTATTGAGATATAATTTACATAGTGTAGAGTGCACACATTAATGTCTACAAGTCAATGGCTTTTCGTATATGCACAGATAAGTGGAGCCATCATCACAATGAATTTTAGAGCATTTTCATCACTTCAAAAAGTAACCCCACCTTCTTTAGCTGTTAACCTCCTATGCATCCATCCCCTCCTCAATTCTAAGCAACCACAAATCTGTTTTCTGTCTCTATAGATTTTCCTATTCTATTTTCATCTAAATAGAGTCATACAATAGGTGGCCTTTTGTGCCTGGCTTCTTTCAGTTGGCATAATGCTATCAAGGTTCATATACGTATTGGTACTTTATTTCTTTTTATAACTGTATAATATTCAATTTCACGGATAGAACATTTTGTTTATCCAATAATATTTTTATTGACATTTGAGTTATGTTCAGTTTTTGGCTATTTTAAATACTGCTGCTAAAAATACTTGTGTGCAATTTGTGTTTGAACACCTCTTTCCAATAATCTGGGTGTATACCTAGGAATAAATTTCTAGGTCATATGACAATTCTATGTTTAATATATTTAGAAGCCATCAAAGTATTTTCCAAAGTGGCCAATTCTAACCATAGAGTGTCTAACTGTGGTTTTGATTTGTAGTTGCCTGATGAGTGATGCTATTGAGTACGTTTATATGGGATTATTGACCGTTCGTGTATCTTCTTGGGAAACACATCTATTCCTATCATTTATCAGTTTTGAGTTGGGATATTTGTTACTGAGTTAAAACAGTTTTTCTGTATTCAAGATACATATATACACAGACATATAGATATGTGTTTTTCAAATATCTTCTCACAGTTTTTGGGCTGCCTTTTGACTTGCTTGGTTGTCCTTTGAAACACCAATGTCTTTAATTTTTAAGAAATTTTAAATATCTAATTTTTATTTTGTTGCTCATGTTTTTGGTGTTACAGCTATTTCTTTGCTAGATCCAAAATCCTGAAGATTTTCCCATATGCTTTATTCTAGCTCTTGCATGTATGTCTTTAATTCATTTGAGTTAATATTTTTGTATGCTTTGGCGTAAGGGTTCCAATTTATTATTTTGCAAGTGGTGATCCACGTGTACGTTGTTGACCCAGTTTGTTCAAAGACTGTCTCTTCCTCATTGAATTGCAAATGGCACCACTGTAAGAATCCATTGACTATAGATACATAGTTTTATATATGGACTCTCAATTCTCTTCCATCAATCTATATTTTTTCCTTCATCAGTATTGTGTTGTCTTGATTACTGATGCTTTTTCGTAAGGTTTGGAGCACGGAGGTGTGAATTATACTAATATGTTTTCTTTTTTCAAGACTATTTTGGCTATTTTGAGTCCCTTACAATTCCCTGTGTATTTTAGAATCACCTTGTCAGTTTCTAGACAGAAGTCTGTTGGGATACTTGTAGGGATTTCATCAAATCTGTAGTTCAAATTGTAAAGTACTATAATATTAAATCTTCCAATTCATGGCTGTAAGATGTTTGCTAATTATTTAGATCTTCTTTAAACAATAATTTTTAATTTTCAGAGTAAAATCTTGTATCACATTTTCCAAATTAATTATTATTTTTTTGATGCTGTTGCAAATTGAAATGTTTTCTTAATTTCATTTTGGGGTTTTCATTGTAGATGTCTGCAATTGATTTTTGTATATTTATCTTGTATGCTGTAATATTGCTGAAATAATTTACTAGTTCTATTGTTCAGTGGATGCCTTAAAATTTTCTATATACAAGAATGTTATTTGCAAATAAAGTTTTATTTCTTCCTGTTCAATATGGGTGACTCTTATTTCTTTACTTGCCGATTTGCCGTGCATAAAATCTTTAGTACAGTGTTGACTAGAAGAGGTCAAAGTGTATATCTTATTCTTATCTCCGACCATTGTGGGAAAGTATCCTTTCTTTCACCACTAAGTTGAATGTTTGCTGTTGGCTTTTCACAGGTGCCATGTATCTGGTGTAGAAAGTTCTCTATTCCTGGTTCATTGAGTTTTTATTTTTATTTGTAATCATTAAAGCATTTGGATTTTCTTAAATGTCTTTTCTGAATCTATCGATATGATCACGCAATTCTTGTTTCTTATTCTATGGATAAGATGTATTACCTTAATGGGTTTTGGGCTGTTAAACCAACCTGGGATGACTAGTATAAATTTCACTTTGTCATAGTGTATAATTATTTTATATGTTGTTACATTTGACTTGTTAGTATTTTTTAAGGAATTTTGCATTTATACTAATAGTAGTTTTATTTTTCTATGCTATTTGGACTAAATTTCATATCAAGGTAACACTGGCCCCACAGAATAAATTGGGAAGTGAATATTTCTCTTTTTAAAAAAAGTTAGTCAGGAATTAATATCAATTAGTCAATACCAACAAATATGATTAATATTATAAATTATTAATTTCTCTAATTTTTATTTTCTTCCTTCTGCTTGCTTTAGGTTTAGTTTGCTATTTTTTTCCAGTGCCTTAAAGTGGAAGGTCATCTTATCTCATCCTTTCCTTTGTCTTTTCATTTTCAAAATGGTGTCTTTTTAGCATCAGGTGAGCTCCCCAGGTTGGTAGTACTCCATGTTTATTGCTGTACAACAATGGCAGGTAATATGTCCTGAAGACAATGGAAAGTTAACATTCAAAATCTCCCTAGATTCCACCTTATGTGATATGTCTCTTCCTTTGATTGGTCCTAATTCCTACCCTTTCTCTATTATAAAAAATGAGTACAATGGCATTCAATGAGTTCTGTGAGTCTTTCTAGTAAATTCTTGAAACTGAGGGTGTTCTGGGGAAACCCCTGAACTTGCAGTTGGTGTCAAAAGTGAGAATCGTCTTATATGGCCTCTTCCTTTGAACTTTGCAGCTGGACCCAAACTCTGCACAATTTGGGTCAGAAGTCTCGTGTTGACTTTGCAGCCTAAATTATCTTGTAGTTTGTCTAACCCTTAATAAATTTGCTTTCATCAAATATTGTGTTTGTTACCCCAAAATTACCGTCATGTTTTTTTCTCCAAATAACTAACATTGGGAGAAATAACCAGCTGAATCTGTAACTGAACAGAAACAAGTGATCCATATACCATATAAGGGGCCATTTCATTTTGCCTCCTTCCACCAAATCTTAGCAACCTCAACCATTACCATGAGACACTGTAGGCCTACAGGCTACAAACAAACAAGTGTCTTTTAAAAACTATTCACACTCCCATTTGATAAATTTCCCAGCAAAGAGATGCCTACTTTATGCAAGTGGGTCATATTCGAAAAGTCTGGAGATATTATTCATGTAGTGTGAGAAAATCATCCCAGCGATGCCAGCACATTCTCCTTCCCATGATCTGCTTAGTTTGCAAACATGTTCAGGCCATAGGTGAGAGATTTGCATTTCACAGTACAACAATTTTATGGAGGGCATTGAAACTTGGATTGAGCATTTTAGTACAGTCACGCATCACTGAATGATAGGGTTACGTTCTAACAGATGCATCCATAGGCAATTTCATCATTTTGTAAACATCACAGAGAATATTACAAACACTTAGATTGTACAGCCTACCACGTCTAGGTTATATGGTAGAGCCTCTCTCTCCTAGGCTACAAACCTGTGTACTACATTACTGTACTGAATACTGCAGGCAATAAGAACACAGTGATAAGAGTTTATGTATCTAAACATACTTAAACACAGAAAAGTATGTAAAAATATGTATTATAATCTCATGGACCACTTTTGTATATGTAATCCATCTTTGACAGAAATGTTATTATGCCTTACATGACTCTATGACAAAAATAAAATAACACATTGTAAAAAATGTACACATGTACCAAACATATTAATATTATAAAAATAAAAATATTCGGTGTAAGAATTTGTAGTGATCACAAAATATTCACAGCTTATATTTTAGTACAGTTGCAAAAGCCTAGTGCAATTACTATATATTTCTGTGTGTATATTAAACATGTATATAATAAATATTTTTCAGGTTCAACAATATATATCAATCCTACTGGCTCTTATAAATATTAGTTAAAATCAATTAGTAAGTTCATGTGTATATATATACACACATGTGTATCAGTGAGTGTGTGTGCATGTATGGGTGGGAATGTAATTGTATGTGTGTGTAAATGTAATTGGATGCATCCTAATATTTATCCTTACCTACAAGATTTCCAAGATTCATTTATTATCTTTAGATGATGTGCATTTAAAGATTTACCAAATAAAACTCTAATCGTGGAAAATATCAAGATGTTATTAAATTCACCTTGTGCACATAATTGTTTCTTTAAATGTATGTTTCTTGAAAAACTTGCATTAACGCTCACGCACAAAATAATTTTCTAAATAAAAAATGAAAACATTTTCTCGGTCATTAATTCTTAATAATTATTTCTCTCCAATAATTAATGTGAATTGATTCTTAATTCTTAACTATAGAATAATGTTGTCCTTCAGAGTTCTGAAATTTTTGGATGTTGTATACATTTCACTAACTAGAACAACTTCTGAAATATTGGCATTAATTAATGTCACTCAGCAATTATTGATTTCAAAGAAATTAAATACCATTCATATTCTGAATCACAAGGGTATTTTGACATCTAATTTAATCAAGCTCTTTGTATCATCATCTACACGTTAATTACTTAACAAACATTTCTCTGTGTGAGAAAGATTGAGCAGGTTATTGTGCTTTGTTAATATGCAACTTTTGCTTAATCTAGAGATAGGCAATGCTCCCTGTAAGGGACAAAGAGAAAAATGAACGAGCAATAGAGATGTGACAGGCATGGAAAAAGACAATACATTTATAAAACAAATAGGGCCACAGATGACGATAATGGGGATAAATCTTGAGATACTGACTCAGTTTATAACCGCACTGTATAATAGAGTAAATCATTTGTTAATTTTTTTACAAATGGAATTTAATTTAATTAAGATGAATACAGTGTTTTAAACAAGGCAGGTTATCTTAAAATAAAATAGTGGAATAAAGTGATAAAACCAATGTAAAAATCATAAACATTTTATAAAGAATTTTTTCATGTAATTTAATATTTTTGTTTATTTAAAATCACCCTATTCAAAATAATATTATCTTAATTAACAAATAATCATCAGAAGTTTAACTGATTTTTACTTTATAATACTGTTTAAAAATTCTTAACTATATTTTTAATCATATATGCTTATATATAAAATTGACATAGGATATATATTTACATGTTCACAATATTATATTGTAATTGTTCCTATGCATGTGGTTTTTGAATAGAATTAATAAGTACTTTTAAAAAGTATCAATTTTAATGATATATATGTTTGATTTTTCTTTGACAAAGCATACATATATTGATAGGTAATAATACGAAAATCTTCTAAAGACATTACAGGAACATGAAATTGTAATTAAATACTCAATAATTTGTAATGTTTTATGTAAGCAGAACCCATTTAACTGAAAATTGCTTTTATGTAATACTCAAACCAGACTAAAAACATTTTAACTAGTGGAGTAAGTCTTCAAATTGATTATCTGAACTATATAATAGTAGAAACTTCAGGCACTCAAATATTTGAAATGCTACAAAATATTTATATAAACTAATATTTAAAAATGTCTGTTTGTAGAGTGCTACACAGTAATCAATATAAATGACATCTCAAGTCTTTCTCTAGCTTTGACCACATTTACCTCCTAATTTTAATTATTAATATGTTGGAGCAGTACGTACAAGATTCCGATCTTCCTTTTTAATGAGTAAAAATATATCCTTTGAGACAGCATTAAAGAAAGAGCACCTTGTATAAATTCAATGCAAAGAGACAAGATATTCTTGATTCTGAAGTCTTTTTCTTTGATACAGCAATGTAATTAATAAGAAGAAGAAAAGCAGGACATAGATGTGGAGTCTATTTTAATCAAAAATTGTCTATAGATTTTGATGATAAAATTTAAAAATCTACTATATTTAGTTAGTTACAAAAAACTAGGTTGTGGGAGCATATTTGGTCAATAAAACATCCCTACAAAATGCTGACAAGAAAAAAATTTAGGTACCAACTTTCTTCTCTGCAGATGGCCTGAGATGGGTTAATTTGAAAGAATGCTTCCAAACCTGAGGTGACCCCTGAGAACAGCATAATCCACTGCTGTCTCCTACATTCAGTTTCTCAGTTTGTGCTCTTTTAATTTTGGAGGGAGGGAAGCCAGTCCTTTAAACCGATCTTCAGCATGATGGCAGAGCCAAGGAGTGCAGACAGGTGGCAAGGTGTCTGACTTTGTTCTAGCAGGCACTTGGGCTTTCTCTGGGCCTTCTGTGCCCTTGGGATAGCACCACTATTGAAAACATGTCTTTGTGACATTCTCTATGCCAGGAACTCCCAACACATTTTCCTTGAAACTGATGAAATGAATAAAAATAAACCAAGAGGTGTGCTGTTTGTTTCTGTTTCCTCCTTTCTGCAGCCATTCTTGATCATCTAATATTTTTAAATACATTGTCGATCACCAAAAGGAGCATAAGGGTTTTATTGATTTGTAGCAGATGTATTAATAGCCCAGCCGCTATTCTTTACCTGTAGCTGCTGGGAAAAAAACAATTCTTAACACTCTACAAGGTCTCATCTCCAGAATTTGCACCTGTTTCTAGCTGAGGACTTTCTCTAGCAGTACGGGAGCTTGATACTGGGCATGAAGTGGGAAGAAAAGGTGAGGGTAACTAAGAAGAATCTCCCTGGATTCAGTGATGTAATTCTGAGGCATGTTCCACATAGCTTCCCAGAGAATTAAGCCCAGATATCTAACACAGAAACTTACCTCTTAGCACGTGTGGTATTGGCTTTTCTATCTTTCCTGTTTTAGTTTGTTCTCTCTTCCTTTTCTCACTTTCACTGTGTCCTCACTCCTGCTTAAAAATACCCAAACAAATACATTCATTTATTTTTTTAGACTCTCAGAACACAGTTGATAGTGTAACTTGTAGTCTATGATAATCAGCTTGGATGCTATACTGACAGGAAGATGGTGAACTCACCATGTCTAATTAAGATAAAATATAAAAACATATTGATTTATGTCCAAAGATTTAAAAAACCTAAGCGGCAGTGTCACAATTTCTTCTTTTTAGTTTACATGGTTTCTTAAATGCCTACAATTATTTTAAAGGAAGCCTTGAGTCTAGGAAAAATTGAGACATATGGAATAAATTACTAACCCATCTCTCCTTGAAATCCATTAGATGCTTGATGATTTCTCACATATATTTCTGAATTGAAAAGCTAGTTGTGAATTACTTTTATCAGCATATCGTTATGTAATATTTTGTTTTTAACAGTGAATTAAAGGTTTAAAGATTAAATTATTCTATCCACAGAATAAAAAGCAATTATTTCACAAGGAGAACATGTGTGTGTTGACACGACATTTTAAAATCTAGATTTTAAAACAGGTCCTATATAGTTTTGAGTCAATTAGAATATGTTTGTATCAGTCAGTCTACAGTTTTACACCTGTCAAAATGTACTTGAACTACAACAAGTACCTTGAACAATTTTGAAATTTATTATTCCTCTGAAACTGATTAAAAGAATTATGGTAGAGTGAAATTCTGATTGACATAATTTGGGAGAGAAATTATTCCTTGGACATCAACCTCTGCCAAGGTAGTTTATAACGACATTGAGACTTTCTGATTTACAAAATTTGTTATATAAAAAATACTAAGACGATGACAGATAATACACAGACTTTAATTAAAATTGTACTAAAATTAAATGTCGAAAATAAATTAGAAGGGTACGTGGTATATCTAACTGTATGTTTACATATCTTAATTGTGCATTTTATTCCTAGGGTTGCTTTTGCTTTAGTTTGTAAAACGTTCTTATTTTTATGATAATGTAGTATATACTAAATAAAGAAAAATCAGGAAGTAGAAAATGAAGAAGAAAACATTAACTATTGTCAACCAAATAAAAATTGTGCAATCTCTAAGTACATGAACTATGTATTATTTTTACAGCATGTACAATGTTTATGCTTCACAGGGTGTGGTAGAGACTGCAAAATATTGAACCTGGGACAAATAAGAAAGTAAGGAAATTTTCACAACATATTAATATTATAGAAAATGTTGAACATAACAGTTAAGATACAAGTAGTGAAAATGATAGTATTTAAGGAGATCTAGAGAATTTAATCTATATCTGTAATGTGTGAGAAGTATTAGAATAATGCTTGTATTTCTGGATTGGCATCGATTTCTTTTGAGACTGGACACATAATAGAAGTGAGGGAAAAAGAATTTAAATTGTGGATACTTGAGTTTTATACCTAGGAGTTCGAGAAATACATCTTGTGACTATCAAAGCAGTTGGCACAAGAGTGTACGAAATTCCCTAATTGTGCCTATGTGGAGAAGACATAGACAAACAGAGAATAGCCAAACAGAAATAGCAAAACAGCACAACTAAATTTTACCTGTATTGTTAAGTAAAAGCCAATTAGAGTAGGAAAACATGAAATTTGTGTTTTATCAAAATTTTTCTCTTTCTCATAATATAGTTGATTATATTACTGGAAAAAAATTGAAGCATTGGTATGTTCACAAAAAAAAAGTAAAATATAATGTCAAAACCATGGGAATGCAGGAAGCAGACAAAATATACCTAAACACCGAATCTGATTTTGCCCTATGGACATGTACCAAAATGAATGAGTGCAGATTCCTACTGTCATACATCACATAAGACAGTAAAGAAATACATAGATTTTCCCAAGATAGGGCATCACACAGGAGCTCCTCCCTGAAGCTAGGACCAAAATTTCTATCCTCAGTATAAAGAAGAATCAGAGGTAAATTTGTCCCATTTCACATTCCCTGGAAACGGCAAATAAAAATGACTTGAGATTGGACAGATTTAAAGCAACTCAATCATTAATAATTAACAGCAATTAATTTAAAAATTGTTTAAATGTGCAGTGCAAACATACGTCCAAACACCTTTAGGCCAAGAATTAACATAATGTAGTCCCAGAATGGTGGTGCCTTTAGTAGACTCACAAAAAAATTCAAATTCTCTTTGGCAAATTTTCTTCTTACTAATCCTCAAAAGTGCACAAAAATAATTTTCAGAGAAAAATAAATATTTGTCATTCAAAGGCATCTAGGTATGCAAGGAAATGATATTCCACCATTTGAAAGGGAAGTAGAAAAAGAGTACAAACAGATCCACAACAGTTCATTAGTAGAAATATCACTGTTAGATTATAAAGCACATTTGCTGTAAAAAATTTAAAATAAAATGAATATATTTTTAGGAGACTAAAAAATTGATGCAGCAAATTTGAAAAGCAGTTTGTATAAAAATATAGTATTTTAAATTAAAAACTCAAAAATGAACTCATCAGATTAGAGATGGCCATGGTGAGAGTTCATAAATATTTCAGAATGCATTACAGAAAATTTAAAAAAATGCAAAATGTGGACAGAATCATGAAGAGACGTGGAAGATACAGTGAGAAAGTGTAGCATGTGTTTAGTGCGTGTTCTCATAGAAGAAGGGAACTGGGAAGGGACAATATGTGATAGTATTTTGGCTGAAAGTTCTCTAGACTTTTGTAAGACATTAATCCGCATGTTCAAAAATTCCATGCATGCTAAGCAAGCTACAATGGAGATAAACCTACACCTACGTATCTCCTAGAGAAATAGTAAACAATCAGGAAGGGAAAAATATTTCAATTAGCACTAGAAAAATCAAATTACCTTTAATCATATTGAAATCTGAAAGAATGAAAGGTAAAATAAACAATATTATTTGTTAAGAATAATAATGCCATTCTGAAATTCTCAACCAAGAAAAATATTCATCAACCTATGGCTAAATAACTTATTTAGAGACAAGAAACAAAACGCCACCAGCAGAATTCCACTAAAGAAACTAAAGAGAAACTCTGAAAACATGCTTCAGAAAGGTTGAAGTTCTGAAATCAAAGAATGAACACAGAGCAAAATACATTGTAAACATACAGATAGATCTAAATAAAAAATTAGGTGTTGAAACAAAAAGATATTTAAAATTAGATAAGCACGGAAATATGTATGTTAGGAAGCAACTTATTAGGGCTGAAGTATTCAAAGACCCCTTAATTGTCTGACAAGAGCAGAAAGGTGAGTATGACTTTGCAACTTTTTTTTTTTTTTTTTTTTTTTTTTTTTTGCGCAGGAGTCTCACTCACTCTTTTGCCCAGGCTGGAGTGCAGCGGCGCCATCTCGGCTCACTGCAACCTCTGCCTCCCAGGTTCAAGCAATTCTCCTGCCTCAGCCTCCTGAGTAGCGGGAATTACAGCCGCGTTCCACCATGCCTGGCTAATTTTTGTATTTTTAGTAGAGACGGGGTTTCACCATGTTGGTCAGGCTAGTCTCCAACTCCTGACCTAGTGATCCACACGCCTCGGCCTCCCGAAGTGTTGAGATTACAGGCGCGAGCCACCATGCGCGACCGACTTTGGAACTGTAATAAATTCACTGGACATTATGCATTTCTCTGTTGTATCTATGAAAACAATAAAAATAAAAGTCAAAATTTAAAAACAAGAAGACAGACCCTGATAGGAAAAAAGAGGCATTATATATATATATATATATATATATATATATATAACAAATTAATAAAACAAATTAAGTATAAGTGATCAAAGATTAACTTAAACCTAAGTAGACAATGTTTTTGTTAAAATACAAAGATTGGCAAAATTAAAAAATTCCGTCTCTATCGTAGTTACGAGAGGCAACTAATATATAAATTTTCAGAAACTTTGAAGTTCAAACAATACAGATAGTGTGTGTATATATGATATACATGCAAACATATTACATGAATATAATTTTTTAAAAAGTTGCTATGTAGACAAAATAGAATGTAAGTTAGAAACATTTATTAAAATAAGTTAGTCTAACCAGTGTAATAAAAGTTTAAAGTTATTAAGAAGATGTGATGACTTAAATGTGCATTAGCCTGATATATATATATACATATATACACACACACCACACTCTCTCTCTCACACACACACACAAACACGTATTTAGAGAGTCAAAATATATAAAGCAAAAATATCAGCAAGTAAGTAAAAATGGATAAGCCCCCAAATTATTATAGACATTTCAAACACATATCCTTCAGTAATAGATACAAGAAGAAATTAAAAGAGTAAGTTTTAAAAGAAGCTACTAGATTTTAAAAAGGGCAAATATTATATAAGGAACATGAATATTATAATTCATGTCATTTTCATGTTCATACCGAATACTTACAAAAATTAACATTTTCTAGACCATACCACAAATTCAAACAATTTTCACGGAAATAACGTGACACAATATATTTCCTAAACAAACAGCAATGAAGGTAAATATCAATACAATAAAGAAAGCTAGAAACATAAGGCTAATAATATTGGTTGGAAGCTATTTTAATGACGATTTAAATATTTTAAAGGTGAATTGTCAATACAAATGAACCAAACACTTTTGTAAGGCCACTAAGATGCATGTGTAACGCGTAATGCCTCCTTTTATAAGGAGTCAATCTGTAATATCACCTGGGCTATTTGACAACTTCAAAGTGAATGTGAGAAGGAGAGAAACAGTGAGAGAGAGATATATAAAACCAGTAAAATAAACATAAAGAATGAAGGAAATATCCAGGCGCCATGGTTCACGCCTGTAATCCCAGCACTTTGGGAGGCCGAGGCAGGTGGATCACCTGAGGTCAGGAGTTAGAGACCAGCCTGGTCCAACATGGTGAAACCCACTCTCTACTAAATATACAAAAATTAGCCTGGCATGGTGGCATGCACTTGTAATCCCAGCTACTCGGGAGGCTGAGGTGGGATAATTGCTTGAACGTGGGGGCTGGAGGTTGCAGTGAGTAGAGATCACGCCACTACACTCCAGCTTGTGCGACAGAGCAAGACTCCGTGTCAAAAAAAAGAGGAAATAGTACATGAAAAAGCAGAAATAAAGCAACTGAGTATATATTTAAACATGCAAAAGCTCACTTTTTCAGAAAAATACTAAAATATTAAATCTAAGAAATATCTAGGTAGACTGATGGAGAAAAATACAGAAAATGTACAAAAAGAATTACCTGGAATGCAAAGGATACAAAATGTCAGCAGTTGTGGATTTTATATAAGCAATGACTTTGAGTTCAACCATGATGGGGTATATTGAAAAGAATCTCTCAGAATAAAAGGAAAAGAAAACTGTTATAAAGCTATGTACAAAATGTTAAGCACTATTGAAATCTTCCAAATCTACCAGTTATGGAGTTATTGGTCTTGGACTAACCCTCTTGAACAGAAAAAAACAAAACAAAACAAAACAAAAAAACCTAAAAACCTGGATAAAATAGCCTACCGTGGGCACTGGCAATGCAACCAAGCAGGTAGGACCTGGGTGCTACATTCTCTTTGTCAGAACACGAAGCATTCACACACTCTTCTCACCCTCACTCTCACCTTTTAATCTTAGATCTACTATTGAATATATTCAACATTACTATCAATCCTTTGGTCAAAATTTCTTTACTCACATTGTGCTTGATGCACTTGGATAGACTTTCAAGAAAATGTGAGTAGTGAATTCCTCAAACTCTTGCATATTTAAAATTACATTTTTGAGCCTTGATGCTTGAAGTGTAGCTTGGGTAACGGGTGGGCTTTAAGCCAATTTTGGCATGCAAGGGGTTGAGTTTATTAGGCATCAGCACCTCTGAAAATCGTGGGGATGCAGGCTTAATTTCAACACACTTCTTAATACTTGAAAGATATTATATAATTCTTTAATAAACTCCTGTGTCTACAAATGGTTCACATTAACTCAATATCCATGATTAAACATCTATAAAATCAAGGCACTGTTATTTAGTGGAGACTTGCTGGCTATTCTATGAGAGGAGGTATTGTTATTGTAATCTCATCCTCTCATAAATGTGTATCATGTTACTCATAACCAGCCCTTCATATTCTATTCCTATTTTGGTATTTTAAAATAAGATATCTTTGAAACACTTGAATTCAAAGAGGGAATCTGAATAGTTTTTAAAAGGTCAATGCCTTTCTTCATGCTTGAACAAATAAAAATGGACTAAAGTGCTGCTCTTCAAACTTTCTGGAACATTTTTTATCTAAATTCTAAGAACAATCGCAATAGGTTTTAACCACAAATGTGAGAATAGTCTAAATGTTAGTGTGGAAAAAATTTTTCAATAATTTTATAGTAATTTTTTTCATCATAGTGACGGTGTGCTAAATTTTTTAAGTCAAATATTACTTTAGACATTTAAGTCAAGATTCTAAGAAGCTGTTTTAAAGTCCAAAATTTAGTTTCATATACAATGATATTATATCTATATTTGCATATAAAATTAATATATGTAAGCCATGTTTCAAATAGTTGAGATATTATTATATCAAAGATTCTTGATTATATAAAATGCCAATTACTTATAGGCACACATGCTTTAAATAATTACAAAGGCAGTTGTGGTTGATTCTACTCTTGCTACTGGCATTTGTATGGACATACTATTATGGTCTGAAGAATATTTAGGCAAATTTATCACTCATATGATCAGAAGAACAATGCAAGATAGTTTATATCTGAAAGGAAAAAAATCTTTATATGGTTCTGAAAGCCTAAATCATTAACAACTTGGATAAATATTAGCATAAAAATACACAAACATGCCCTCTTCCTAGCAGTAAGTACACAGTGACAACAGAATCAAAGCATGTGGCTCCTCTTCTCTGCCCTTTCTAGATGGCACAAGTCCTCATGAATCTAAGTGCAGTCATAGGATGGATTAGGATGACCTGCCATTTGTATGCAACTGATCTCAATTTTGGAAGTAATTAAAGTAAAAATATATTTTTAAAAGATAATTTCAAATTTCAGTGCAAACTAGCATGGTTTCACCCCTTTTCTTTGTAACATTTTTTCTAAGGTTGGAAAAGTAAGGTAGGCTTTAGCACGATTTTTAATAATAAGTTTTCAAAGTGAGACGCAAAATGGTGGCGCCAACACATTTCAAGTCTGCTACATTTTGAATACACTTATTGGAGAAAAGACCTTCTCATCATTTTTCTCTTACAAGAAAGGAAATAACATGTACAGTTGACCCTTAAGCAACACGGAGGCTGGGGTGCTGGCCCCCCTGTACAGTAGAAAATCCACTATAACTTTGACTTCCCCAAAACTTAACTACTAATAGCCTACTGTAAGCCTTACAAATAACACAAGCAGTCAATTAACACATATTTAATATGTTATATGTCTTATATACTGTATTCTTAACAAACATGCCAGAGAAAAGAAAAAGAAAATCATAAGGAAAATATATTTACTAGTTATTAAATGGAAGTAAATGATCAAACAGATCTTCATCCTCATCCTTTTCATGGGCAGGGTGTGGAGAAGGATATAGAATTGTTGGTTTTGCTAAGTGGACCTGCACAGTTCAAACCACTGTGGTGCAAAGGCCAACTGTATGGCCATTGAATAGCAATTTATTTTTAGAAATTAATCTCACTAAAATACTCTTAGAAGGATGCCAAGAAAAAAATGAATAAGTATGTTTGGTTCATCTATTTCATCATTTCACTTCATTTCATCATTTCTTTTCCTCATTTCATCATTTCATTTCATTTCATCCTTTCATTTCATCCTTTCATTTCATCATTTCATCATTTCATCTAATCATTTCATCTCATCATTTCATCTCAACATTTCATTTCATTTCATCATTTCACTTCATCTCATCATTTCATCATTTCATCTCATCATTTCATTTCACCTTTTCATCTCGTCATTTCATTTCATCATTTCATTTCATCATTTCATCTCATTTCATTTCATCAATTCATCATTTCATTTCATTTATTTCATCATTTCATTGTTTAGTTTCATCATTTCATCATTTCATCATTTGACTTCATTTTATCATTTCTTTTCATTTCATATCATTTCATCATTTCATCTTTTCATTTCATTTCATCATTTCACTTCATCATTTCATCATTTCATTTCCTCATTTCCTCATTTCATTTCATCATTTCATTTCATCCTTTAATCATTTCATCTCATCATTTCATCCTTTCATTGCATTATTTCCTTTCATCATTTCATCTCATCATTGCATTTTGTCATTTCATTATTTCATTTCATCATTTCACATCATCTCATCATTTCATCATTTCATCTCCTGATTTCATTTCATCACATCATTTCATCTCATTTCATCTTTTTATCTCGTCATTTCATTTCATTTGATCATTTCATTTCATCAATTCATCATTTCATCATTTCATTTCATTATTTCATCATTTAATCATTTAATTTCATTTCATCATTTCATTTCATCATTTCATATCATTTCTTCATTTCATCATTTGATCTTTTCATTTCATTTCATCATTTAATTTCATTTCATCATTTCACTTCATCATTTCATTTCATTTCATTTCATTTCCTCATTTCATTTCACCATTGCATTTCGTCATTTCCTCATTTCATTTCATCATTCCATTTCATCTTTTCATTTCATCACTTCATCTCATCATTTCATCCTTTCACTTCATTATTTCATTTCATCATTTCGTCTCATCATTTCATCTCATCATTTCATTTCATTCCATCATTTCATTTCATTTCATCATTTCATCATTTCATTTCATTTCAGTGATACATGTATTTAAGTGCTAATATGATGCCCAGGAGACACCCTATTTCCCTTTGTAAAACACCTCCTTCAACAAAAAGCAACCTCTCATTGCCGGCTAAGTCTACAGGGATACCAGGCTCTCTTCAACCACCCAGTTTGATTTGGAACATCAAACAGCACCTCAGTTTCATAAAAAGCTAAAACATAAACACAACACTTGGTTGTAAGTGAGACAACAGTTTCTTGTCTCTGTCTCTGCTCAAGGCTTAAGGCCGTGTCTCCCCAACTACGTTCAGAGGAAGAAAACATCCCCTGGACAAATAAGTTTGAGAACTGTTGGTGCAGGACTTCTGAGAACCTTTAAAACACAAATCCTTATCCGCAGGGATCTTCAGGAGGGAGATGGCTGATGCAGCACAACTTTCTTTCACAGGAGCATCCTGCAGAATACAGTATGAGTTACAGAAAGGCTGCATTTAGTCTTATTAAGGGCCCGGGCCTTGGTGGAGGTGGGGTAGGAGCTCTACAGATAGCATCTAATGAGCAGGAACATTCAGTTGGCTTTTTTTTCTCCTTATTGACAAAACTGTGTGTGCACCATGAATGAAGCTGGTCTCCCTTATCCATATCAAAACTAAACCCGAATTAGTTGTCTAAATTGGGACTCAACACCTCCAGGAGCCACACGGAGGAAAGCCCCACCAGACTTTAAAGTAGCTTACCTCATCATATTTGAGGAAGGCAAAACGCTTATGACCAGTATGCTGCTAATACAAGTCTACAGATAATGCTGTAGGAAAAATTATTTTTCCCAATCATAGCTGGCATAGTCCACATTTTGCATTACACTTTCCCCCCCTTTTTTAAATTTTAAACACAGGTGTTTCTCTCTTCTTTTTTTAAATTTTAATTAAATTATATAAGACGGAGTCTCAGTATGTTGCCAAGGCTGGTCTTGAACTCCTGAGCTCAAGTGAGACATCCATCTCTGCCTCCCAAAGTGCTGAGATTAGAGGCCTGAGACACTGTGCCTGGCCTTAAACACAAATCTTACTTCATTCTTACAATTATCCTGAGGTTAGAAAAATGGAAGGGGAAGAAAAATGGCAAGCAGGTAGGCTGACTTCGGCTTCATTACTTGGAAGGACAATTTGCTCGGTTAAAGCCCACTACTGCCCACAAAGTCCAAGACAACAGAAAAATACAGACTTATATAAATAGATTTTATATGTGACAGCAGTTTGAAGGGAGACTTTTTCAATGCAAATGACAAACAGCTGTGCTTGGGAATAAATGACAACAATTTTTTTTTTATCTCAACAGCTGTCCTGAGAGCATGTCTCTACATCTCTACCTGCATTCTGGAATCAGGGAGAAAGCCAAAACGGACTACAAGACACTAGATCAGCCGTGTCCAACCCTTTGACTACAAGGACTTTTCCGCCTATCTGTGGTGGTGGGTATCATGAAAATTATGTACAAACCTTTTTTTTTTTTAAGCTCATCAGCTGTTGTTAGCATTAGTTATTTTATGTGTGGCCCAGGAACATTCTTCTTCCAATGTGGCCCTGAGAAGCCAAAAGACTGGACACCTGTGCACTAGATCAAAAGTCTACTCCTTCTGGAAGCAATTGTAAAGAATTTCTGACATTATCTTGACATGAAAACCAATGGATAGTGGGACAGAATGCAAAATCTTCAAGAATTTTTCTTGTTGGTTTTTTTTTTTTTTTTGAGTCAAGGTCTTGCTCTGTGGCCCAGGCTGGAGTACACTGGTGAGATCACAGCTCAGTGCAGGCTCAAGTGCTCCTCCCGCCTCAGCCACAGTAGTAGCTGGAATTACAGATGCACGCAACCACCCCTGGCTAATATTTTATTTTTTGTAGAGACGGGGTCTCACTATATTGTCCAGGTTGGTCTCAAACAACTTGACTCAAAGGATCCAGGACAGGATAACAGGTGTGAGCCACCACACCTGGCCATGTGCATGAACTTTTAAGACAAACACAAGGCCCCACAAAAGTTAAGGTTTTCCCACCTAATTTCCAGGGGATCTTTTGGTGCAAGGATAAGAAGCCCTTAAAAGTACACAGACAACTCCAAAGATTCAAGACAGTTCATTGGGGCTGAGCCAGCCCACTGGGCAGACTGACCTTCAAGAAAGGCCCACCCATGACATACACCAGATGTCTCTCCAAGAATCTCTCCAGTCCTCAGGGTCCCTAAGGTACTGGACAGAGCTAGGAAAGCAAACCCATTTGCTTCTTCCTGCAGGAAACCCCTTGAGGTCAAGACCCCACAATCAGACGAGGATGGAGTGGCTCACCCTCACTCAACAGGCCAGACTCAAGGTGGTATAATGTCTTAACCAAGATTGTGGGCCTCCAGGTCGCACTCCCAAGTCAGTGCTCCTTTATTAATCAAACTTTGTTAATTCTCCTTAACAGGGGTTTCTGGCAAGTCAGTTCTCCCTCAGGCCTTCGGTTTCCTCACCTACAAGATGAGAGGACTGGACCTGGCGGCGTCACCCCCGCCACCACCCTCCTTCTTTTCTCTCATTGCCGCCGCACGCAGGGCCGCTCTATGCAAGCCGCAGTGGCCCAGGCAGGGGGCTCGGGAGCCTAGGCAAGGAACCCCCGAGCCTGAAGAGCTGGACCAGGAACGACCCTCGGCGCTGACCCCGCCAGGACGCTAGTAGAGCTGGCAGCGGAGTCTGCCGCTCCCGCCCTCAGAGCCGCGGCGGTGGGCGCAAAAAGCCGCAGCAGCGGGGGCAAAAAGGCGCAGCGGCCAGGGAAAAAGTCGCAGCGACGGGGGCAAAAAGCCGCGGCGGGGGCAAAAAGCCGCTGCGGCGGGGGCAAAAAGCCATGGTGGCAAAAAGCGGTGGTGGCAGGGGCAGAAAGCTGCGGCGGTGGGGACAAAAAGACTAGGCAGCGGGGTCAAAAAGCCACCGCGGGAAAAAGGCGCAGCGGCGGGGTAAAAAGCCGCGGCGGCAGGGGTAAAAAGACTCGGCGGCGGAGGCAAAAAGACGCAGTGGCGGGGGCAAAAAGCCGCGGTGGGAGAAAGCAGTGGCGGTGGGGGCAAAAAAACGCGGCGGCAGAAAGCAGCTGAGGCGGGGGGGGGGCAAAAAGCCTCAAAAGCCGCGGCGGCGGCAGGAGCAAAAAGCTGCTAAAAGCCGCGGTGGCGCGGGCAAAAAGCCGCGGCGACGGGGGCAAAAAGCGGCAAAAAGCCGCGGCGGCGAGGGCAAAAAACCACAAAAAGCCGCGGCGGCAGGGGCAAAAAGCTGCAAAAAGCAGCGGCAGCTGGGGCAAAAAGCAGCGACGGCGGGGGCAAAAAGCCGCGGCGGCGTGAGCAAGAAGCCTCGGTGGCGGGGCAAAAAAGCGCGGCGGTGGCAGCAAAAAGCTGCGGCCGGGGGAAAAACCCCGCGGCGGCGGGGCAAGAAGCCGGGTAGGCAAAAGCCGTGGCGGAGGGGGCAAAAAGCCGCGGCGGCCAAAACCCGTGGCAGCGGGGGCAAAAAGCAGCGGCGGTGGGGGTAAAAAGCCGCGTCGGCAAAAGCCGTGGCGGCAGGGGCCAAAAGCCGCGGCGGCGGGGACAAAAAGCCGTGGAGGCTCGGGCAAAAAGCAGCGGCGGCGGGGGCAAAAGGCCGTGGCGGGGGCAAAAGGCTGCGACGGCAGGGGGCAAAAAAGCCGCGGCGGCGGGGGGAGAAATTCCGTAAAAAGCCGCGGCGGTGGGGGGAAAAGCCGCGGCGGCAAAAAGCAGCGGTGGCAAAAAGCAGCGGCGGCAGGGGCAAAAAGCCGCGGTGGGAGAAAGCCGCGGCTGCGGGGTCAGAAAGCCTCGGCGGTGGGGGCAAAATAGTGGAAATGGGGTAGAAGGCGGCACGGCTTGGCATTGCTGGAGTGTGATGTGATAGGAAATGTGCAGCCAAACACAAAAAAAGATGTAAGTAGGCTTGACTCATTGCAGCTAAGAACCCAGATGTTATCTTGAGGGTATTAACTAATAAGCAGTTTAAATCAGAATGGCACATTCTGATTTGTTTTTTGTATGTTCACATTTGGCAGGCATAGATACTGTTTGAAGAGAGGAAACTCAGTAGATAGAGGTAACAAACTTAAATATGTGCCAAGTCTAGAAACAAGAGACTAGGGGGATAAGGATCTTTTAAAATAAAATGCCAGATTTGAAAACTGATTGGCTGGGGGATGAGGAAAAGGCAGGTCTTTAAGGTCAATACCTGTTTTGCTTTAAGTTGTTAGGGGGTGGTTTTATCACATATTGTAGAATATGTCATTTCAGTTTTGAACATCTTGACTTAAATTGTCCTAACATATCTTATGAATTTGATTTTGTTCCCTGGGAAGCTAATATTTCAAAAACTGAAAGAGTATAGATTTCCAACTTGTGTCCAATTTATAAAATTCTCTCTAAGCTGCTGGTTTCAGGAGGAGGCTCATGAATATTCTATTTGCAGAGAATATATCAGGAGTTAACAACAGCATCAATATTTGTGGACGACCAGTTAACTAAGCCACCACTTAGTGTATTTAGATGGGAAATCTAAGCTGAAGATATTCAATAATGAACCAACAGTGACTAAAAAATTCAATATGTAAGTATATTTCATTGTAATTAATTTGAAATTAAGTAGCCATATACAGCTAGTATTTACTACATTGAGCAACGCAAATAAGAGGACAAAATTAATAACCATCTCTAATACCACATGCCAAAATCCTCATCAATTTATTCTAGCTAAAGGAGTTTATCAGAAGCAGCAATTGAAAGCACCAACTAAACCAGTTGGGGTTAATTCACTGTCATTCTCTCAGAACCATCTCTTCTCTGAACAAAACAAGTACAAGAGTTAATTGTGAATCTCCATTTTCCTTGCCTATTTTAAGGTTTTGATGTTGACACTAATTTGTGAAATCCCTCCTGTGGTGTGATATTTCATTTTCCTTGCTCTTTGTTAGGACAAGAATGATTCAGCTCTTAATTTAAAATTATGTTTCTCCCTCCTAGGTTGAGTGAACTTAGAATGCATTCTCTGACATATCCAAGTTTTTGTTAATATGAATTTGGGGAGAAAAGCATACTAAATTAGCTAAGACTCCTTATTCTAGGCTTGATGCTGTGTTTGACATCTTTTGAATTTGTAGTTGCATAGGCTGCTCTCTGACACTGGTTAGTGATCTGGAAGCTATATTAACATTAGGGGAGGTGGTGTATGAGCATTAGAGGTATCCTTGCAAGGAAAGACTTGTCTTATGTCAATACGTCTGTTTTTTGCACACAAGAAAGTCAATGTTTGAGTCTTCTAAAATCTTCCTATTTCCAAGTTGCACAGTACCATCGATTCCTAAAGAAAGATCTAATTTTTGACTCAGAGACGTGGCAAGGTAGTGAATCACCATTATAATTTAACAATCTTCAAGATAAAATTATCTCTCTGATATTTAGATTTTGCCCAATTATGAAGATATTTGGGTGTTTCGTTAAGAATGGAAGACTCTAGTCTCTTGAGCAGAGACTATAAAGGCCTCAGATGATCATTTTTAATTTTATGCTCTTTTCTTTAACACCTTCAACACAGTTGGAAGCAGCCAATATTCCCCAGAGTTGTTGTGTTTTTTAAACCAAATGCATGGTTCAGTGGTAGAAAACTGGGTTTATCCAAACTGTTTTCAGTAAACACTTCATTTCAGGTGACCTATTTCATATTAAATAATCTCTAGATCCTGTCTGCAAAACTAACTAGATCAGATAACCTACCCTAGATTTTCCGCTTTTAGGGTCTTTTAGCTGCAGTCAGTTTGGTGAAAATGATTGCAATGAAAAGATAGAGTTGTAGATGGGGAAAATGTTTTGACTAATTTAAGCATAGTGGTATTTCGTATGAGAATTTAAGTTAAACACATTTGAAAATTATAATAGAGTCTCTTGGCTGAGCTTTAAAAAAAATAGCATTTAGGCTAAAAAGGGAACTGCTACCTCTCCTAAAATCAGAAAGATGTTACAGTACTTCTCCATTCTCTAGAATTATCAGGAAGCACCTTTGTGATGATTTACTTTTGCTCTTGGGAGTGTGAGCTTGTGTAGTCGTGGAACCATCAATTAGAATGATGGTTTTCTGATCCCAAAGTCATTCGTTCTGAAAACAATATTTTTCATAAATTTGAAAGTGAGAAGTTTTGATCTTGCCATTCCCAAGTAACTCTCTTAATAAGAGGCATCAGCATGCTTCAGTGACAGCTGTCACCTTCCAGTGCTGAGAGTCATCTTTAAGTTCTCCATTTCACTCCCTACACTCCAATTTAGCTGCAGTTCTCTTGGCCAGTCCTATGAAATACATCCATGGCCTAACGACTTCTCACCACTAATACCACTCATACTAACAGCATTTTCACCTAAGTCACTACCTTTTTTCTCTGGATTACAATAGCCTCCCAATTTATTTGCTCACATGACCTACTTATTCTACACAGTGCACCAGATACACTCCTTTGAAATGCAAACACAATCATGTTATTCTCTGGTGAAGGTATCTCATATATTCCTATCGCATTTAAAATTAATTCAGAATAATCCCATGATTATCAAAACCCTACATGCTCTTCCACAACATGGTTTACTTCCAAGATATCTCTTCAACTTTTTTTTCACTGTACTGAATTGGTGACTAATGGTCATATTTTTGTTTTTGCTCAAAAAGTCTTGACTTGTAAATTTTTCAGATTCTCCTTTATCCACAGGTAACTCTTTCCTCATAAGGCGAATTGCTTGCTTCCTTGAGATCTGCTCTTAAAGATACCCTGCATTTTCTACCTAATATTTATAACTTTAATCATTCATTATTCCATTACTGTGCTCTATAGTGTATACCATTTCTGTTCTTTGTCATGTTATTAACTAAATTATTTATTTGTTCCAGTAACGTATTCCATAAATATTGTACACGTAAAAATTATGTTATTTTCATTGCTGTATGCTCAGCTGCCCAATAACAGTTTGAGGATTAACATATTTGTTAAATGCACAAATACATTCTTTCACAAATATTAGTTTAACAATTTTATATTAAACTCCCTATATACTTACAATATGAATTAGATAATTCAGAATAAACATTCCATTGGAAAAAACTAAACAATTTGTTATAAAACATCCTTAAAAGCATCAGAAAGTTAATACAGCAACGAAGAATTACAGGACCAAATTAAGAATGGTATGGAAGCCTGTTTATGGGGCTTATGTTTGGGTTATCTCTTTACTTAGAGTGACTATAAATCTCAAAAGAGAACTAAAGGGATAAATAACCATATGTACTAACATGGTAAGGGTATTTAAACATCTCTTAGTAATTGAGAAAATTGAAAGAAAAGAAAAAAGAGAAAGGGAGAAAGAGAAACAGAGCGAAAGGGATAATGAAAGAGAGAAACAGGAGAAAGGAAGAGGACGAAAAGTAAAAAGGAGGAGGAGGGGGAGGGAGGAAGAAAGAAAGGTGAAAAGAAAGAATGGTAAAATTTTTAACAACATAATTTAACCTTCTAGAATATGAATGTTGGTCTATTTGATGATGTCCCACAGATTCCTTAGTCTCTGCTCATTTTTTATCAGTTTCTCAGAGTCAATATTTTCCATTTTCTTATCTTCAGGCTCATGACTTCTTCTGTGTGTGTAAATATACTCTTAAATCCCTCTGGTGATTTTTTAATTTTTATCATTGTAGTTTTCCACTCCAGAATTTCTGTTATCTCTTTGTTGATAGTCCTACTTTTTAATATTTTTTTTCTGATTCCTTTATTTCTTTGTTTCTGTTTTCCTTTTGACATTTGAGTATAATTAAGAGAGTTGTTTTAAAGTCTTCGTCTAGTAAGTTTGATGTCTGGGTTTCCTTAGAGATATTTTCTGTCAATTTATTTTGTTCCTTTGAATGAGCCATACTTTCCCATTCTTTGTATGCCTTGTAACTTTTTGAAAACTGGACATTATAATAATTATAATTACTATGTGGTTACTCTGTAAATCAGACCCCCCCCCTACAAACACACTAATGTTTTGTGGTTATAAGTTTTATTTACTTATTATTGTTAAGGTTTTAATTTTTAGTGAAATTTTCCAAAGCGATTTACAAAACTGTTTGCTTTATAAGGTGTGGTCACTGAAGTCTTTTTGTTTCCTTAACAAATGTTAAGCTAATGTTTTGACAGTGATTTTCTTGTATGTCAGGAACTAAGCAAACAGGCAAATACAACAAAAAAAGAAAAACAAGGAATCATTATCCAGCAAGATATGTCTCTACGCCATGCAGACTGGCTTTGTGCTGGGTTCTTTAATGCCGGCACAAAGTGTGTGTTCACTCTTGCACTGAGTGAAGATCAAGTTCACTCTTGCACAGAGCTTGCACTGAGGGGAGGGTTCAGCCAAGGTAAAAATGTAGGGTCTTCTTATGACATTTGTCAGCAAGTGGCTTAACCTATGCATACATGTGACTTTCTAGACTCTCCCATGTCCGTGAATGATTTTGAATGTCTTAGTTTTCCAAATACTCTTCTCCAACTTTTCTTCCTGTGCTGAAGGTGATCTACTATATGTGTAAACTCTAATTTTTGCCCTAAGCATCTGTGGTTTGTTAGGTCTCCTTGCAGAGTTTCTTAATAATGTCCATTCCTTATCTCTTCTGTATTCTAGCAATGCAGAAGAAAAAAAAGCCTTTCATTAGTCCTTTAGGTATCCCCCAGACCAGTCAGAACAGACACATTATAATTTGCGGGTAAGATCTTCTCTTGTTCCTTTGGACCATGGACCAGGGTTCCTCATTGGGAACGTGGGCTTCTGACACTTCAAAACTGCCAATTTGCTGGGGCAAAGGCAAGTTAAAAATGTCATAAAGTTTTCAAGTTGTCTTTTTCTTGAGTCTGATTTCACTTGGTTGTTGTAATCTTTTGACCATTTTCCAGAGATTTGGCAAAGTTTATTCGGACAGTTTCTCTTAGTTGTGTGATGTTTCTGTGGGGAAATGAAAGATTGCAGCTGTCTCCACTGCCATTTTGCTGATGCTCCTCTTTTGTCAATTTTTGCTTCATGTTATTATGCTTTGTTATTAGTTCATGTTTTAGTTTTCTAGGGCTGCCATAACCAAGTAACACAAACTGGGTGCCTTGAACAACATACATTTATAGTCTTATAGTCCTGGAAGCTAAAGGTCTGAGATTGAGGTGTCAGCAGGGATGGTCCCTTCAAGGGCTATGAGAGAAAGTCTGTTCTATGCCTTGTTTCTAGCTTCTGGTGGTTTAGTGGCAGTCTTTGGCATTCCTTGGCTAATCTCTGCCCTCATAATCACAAGGTACTCTCCCTGTGTGTATGTCTCCCTCTACTCAAATTTCTTCTTTTTATAAGGACATCAGTCATATGGAATTCAGGCTCATCTGATTTTATCTTAACTTGATCACCTGCAAAGAACCTATTTCCTAATGAGGTCATATTCAGTGGTTAGGATTTCAGCATCTATATAGAGGAAACAATTTAGCTCCTATCTGTGCATACATGATTGTAATAGCTATGTCTTCCGAAAGCGTTGACACCCTTTTTACTACAATATAAATTTTTAAAATACTATTCACATTTTTAATAGTCTATATCGTGTGTTATGAGTATAATGAGTTCAGTGTTCTTATGATTGCTCTTTGCAAGGTATTTTTTGTCATCTGTTTACTTTGCATTAGTATCCTTGCATCTCAGCGTATATTGGGATCACTTGTGTTAATCCAGTCTGACAATCTCTGCCTCTTGATTGGACTTTAATCTGCTCACATTTAATATTATAATTGGTATAATTTTATTTATGTCTGCCATTTTACCGTTTGTTTTGTATATTTCTCAAATATTTTTCTTTATTGCTTTATTTTGCAATGAATGAATATTTTCTAAAACAAACAAGGAACTTTAGATTACTAATGAATTATTTTACTATTTATTTTTGAGAATTTCTGTTGTTGTTTTAAGTTTAACGTATAAGTATATGGAAAATTAATTATTCAAATCGTCTTCCAATTTATACTAGTAAACTTTTAGTAATAGAAACATCATTCTTTTACAAATCTCTTTTATTTCCTCCATTTTAAGGTATTATCACTTTACACATTACATCTATTAAAGTTACAAAGCCAACAATACATTTTAGTAATTATTACTTTACCATCTAGAGGGATTACCTTATCACAATACATTTTTCTTCCAACTACCTCCTTTTTGATGTTACTGGAAAATATGTTATAGACATGTTACGTTTCTACATGTCAAATACTCAGCAATACATCATGCACATATTATTATTATTATTATCATTGAGATGGAGTCTCCCTCTGTCACCCAGGCTGGAGTGCAGTGGCACAATCTCCGCTCACTGCAAGCTCCATCTCCCGGCTTCATGCATTCTTCTGCTTCAGCCTCCCGAGTAGCTGGGATTACAGGCGCCCGCCATCACACCCGGCTAATTTTTTGTATTTTTAGTAGAGACGGGGTTTCACTGTGTTAGCCAGGATGGTCTCGATCTTCTGGCCTCGTAATATGCCTGCCTCGGCCTCCCAAAGTGCTGAGATTACAGGCATGACCCATCGTGTCCGGCCATTATACACATATTATTTTATAAACAATTTATGATAAAGAGAAAACATGCATTTATACTGTCTTTTATAATGTTAATATTACCTATAGCAGTGCTTTTTTAAAAATGTGGATTCAAATGACTGTCTTGTGTAACTTGCTTTTAGCCTTAGGAATTTATTTTAGTTTTTTTTTTTTTTTATGGTAGGTCTGCCAGCAACAACTTCAGTTAATATTTCTGTTTATCTGGGTAAGTCTTTGTGTTATCTTCATTTTTGAAAAATAATTGCTGGATAAGGAATTGGTGGCTGACAGTTTTTTTTTTCCTTTGCATCTTTCAACTATATTATTCTACTGCCTCTTGCCTTCCATTGTTTCTGTTAAGTCAGCTGTTACTCTTACAAAACATAGGTGCTCAAAAAATAAACATGTGCATGAATATTTACAGCAGTAATATTCATACAGTCAAAAAGTGGAAACAATCCATATGTTTGTTGACTCATAAGTGGACACCCAATTTCCAGCTATAACAAAGAATGAAGTACTTATACATGGTGTAATATGGGTGAAATTTGAAAGCATTATGTTAAGTTCACAGAAGGACAAACATTACTTGATTTTATTCACATGAAACATCAGGAATCGGCAAATCAATTGGGATATAAATCAGATTAGTGGTCATTAGGGCTCAGGGAAGCAGAATAGGGTGTAACAACTTTATGCATAATGGGTTGTTAGAAGGGATATGATGAAATTGTCCTGGAACATTGTGAACATACTAAAAGCAATTGCATTGTATGTTTTAAAATGGTTAAGTTATTAATTTTATATTATGTGATTTTTGCCTTAAAAAACAAAAAAGAGAAAATAGCCTTACTGTATATACAAAAAACTCAAGATATGTTACAAAATTATATGTGAAATCCAAAATACTATAATATTTAAGGAATAGCTAAGTAGAATAACACTGAAATTTAACATAATGAAATATTTTCTTAAAAAAGAAAAAAGCACAGTAATTAAAAAGGGAAATATAGTTAATATTTTTTCTCTCCATTAAGCATGCCATTAACTGATTAAAAAATCAAGCTGCAATTATGTAAACTACATTTTCTGAAACCATAAAGAAAATAAGAAATGAAAAGGGATTTGGGAAAAAAATCCAAAGGTACAGTCAACTACACAAAAAAAGCTTAGTCTCATTAATCATAATTAAAATGCAAATTGTAACTGAAATAAGATAAAACTACAATTCAAAGGGAAAGCCTAAAATTTCAACCCCCCAAAAATTCTGGGTTTTGCAGAGCTGGGATGGAGTAGGGCTCCTAACCTTACCACAATGTAATAACCAAACTAACTTCAAAGTCATGATTTTATTTTTATAGCAACCAGGTTGCCAAGAACTCAGTCAAAATGTGAGGGAAAGCAAGCACCTACAAGGAGAAAGAGGACAGATGCACTTACATAGGACAGATGCAAATAGACACCACTATGAGAAGTAAAGCTGGAATAATCAATAAATTCCTAAGGACAAAGTGGGGCTGGTCAGATTGGGAGATGGCTGACAGCTGCAGAACTCGGGAAAGATCCATCATCTTGAAAACTTTTTCCCCACAAACCCAATGTGATCTCTCAAGCAATTGGTAAGGAATCCAAGAGAGTCTGTATATGATACAGATCAGGGAGAGCAGAACACTTGGGAGGTGACCAGGTCTTGGGGGCCGAGCCCTTATGAATGGGATTAGTGCCTTTATAAAAGAAGCTCAATGGAATTCTTGTGTGCCTTCCACTATGTGAGGACATAGAAAGAAGGCACCATCTATGAACCATGAAATGGGCTCTCATCAACACTGAATTTGTGAGCATCTTTACCTGAGACCTTACAGCCTCAAGAAGTGTGAAAAAAGAAATATCTGTTGCTTTTTAGTCACCCAGTTCATATTATTTTGTAATAAGAGTCCAAATAGACCAAGATATTCCACTTAATATGTAGGGGAAGGTAACAAAAACTGACACACCTAGAACACTCCTGATGCTGGGAGTATGAAAACAGGAAAAACAAAACAAAACTGCTCTTGAAGGTGATGGAGGAATATCACTGAGCTCACCAACACAGCCAGGAAAAGAACAGAAGTGTGAGAAGTCTGCATTCCTGAGATCCTGAGAAAAGGTACCTGCATAAGACTGAGATGAAATTACCTACCCTAGTTATAATTGAAATCCCAAAAAGAAAAGAGGAAAAAGTAATGGAACAAAAGAAATATTTTTCAAAATAACTGCCAAAAATATTCTAAAAGAAGTGACAGAAAATCAAACTTCAGATATAGGAAACTCAGAGAATGTCAAATAGAACAAAAATAAGAATTACATCTTGGAAAATCTTTAAAAAATCAACTCTAAATTTTATATCTTTCTCCAAATATATAGAGATATAAATAGGTTATCATCAAGATATGGAGAAAGCCATATCATGGAAACACTAAAATAAATCTGTGGAAGGACTACATTGATATTAGACACAACAGAGTTCAGAACAAGAAATAGTATCAGAGATGAGAGATAATAGATAATATGATAATCAATTCTCAAGAAGATGTAAACATCCTACTAATTAGGGAATGCAGCTAACAACAGAACCTCCAAATACATGAGGTAAAACATGAAAGAAATCAAAGGTGAACTAGAAAAATCCAAAATTATATTTACAGACTTCAAAACTTTTGTCTTAGTGAGGGACAGACTAGGAACAGACTCAGTAATCATATGGAAGATAAGAACAATATCACCAACAAGACATCCAATCTTCAATGGCAGATACTCTTTCCTTTCAAGTGAAAAAAAAACAGTATGGCATATTCTCTAACAAAACCAGAATTTCTAATGTTTGCTGTCTTCCTTCCTTCTTTCCATCTTCCTTTCTCTTCTCTTCCCTTCCCTTCTTCCTTCCTTTCTTCTTTTCATCTTTTCTTTTTTCTTTTCCTTTCTTTTTCTTTCTTTTTTCTCCTTCCTTCCTTCTTTGCTTCCTTCTTTCTTTCCTCTGATTCTTCCTTCCCTCCTCCCTCCCTTCCTTTCTCCCTCCCTTCTTTTCTTCCTTCTTTTCTCTTATTCTTTCTTTCTCACTTCCTTGCTTTCTTTTTTCTCCCGTCCTCCCTCCCTCCTTTTCTTCCTTCCTCCTTCCCTTCCTTTCCTCATTTTTCCTTCCTTCCTTCCTTCCTTTTCCTCTTTATTTTCTTTCTTTGCCTTCCTCCCTTTTACCATTCTCTCTTCCTCCTTTCCTTCCTCCCTTCCTCCTTCCTTTCTTTCTTTCTCACTTTATTTCTCTCTCTGTCTCTTTCTTTCTTCCTTTCTTTCTTGTGTTCTTTCTTTTTTCTCCCTTCCTGCCTTTCTCCCTTCCTCCCTCCCTCCCTTCCTCCCTCCCTCCCTTCCTTCCTTATCTCATTTCCTCCTTCTTTTCTTTCTTCTTTCTTTCTTTCTTTCCTTCCTTCTTTCCTTCCTTCTTTTTACTTTCTTTCTTTTCTTTTCTTTCTTTCTCTTTACTACAATTCATATTATTTAAAAAAATTAAGACATGGAGGAAGAAAAATAAAGAACACTTTAATCTGCAGGTAAATAGATTATGTCTGCTGTAGACAAAAGGATGGCCTCCCAAAAATGTTCATGTCCTAATTCCCAGAGTCTAACATACAAATATGTTAGGTTACATGGCTGTGGAAAATTAGATTTCAAGTGAAATTAAGGTTGCAATAAAATGTTGGAGAGATTATCTTAAATGGTTGGGATCAATGAAATCACAAGCTTCCTTATAAGTGAAAGAAGAAGGCAGAAGAAAGGCAACCATGGAGGTGGTGGCATGAGAAATTACTCAACATCACTGACTTTTAAGATACAAGAATGAGGACCCAGCGCGGTGGCTCACGCCTAATCCCAGCACTTTGGGAGGCCAGAGTAGGTGGATCACGAGGTCAGGAGATCGAGACCATCCTGGCTAACATGGTGAAACCCCATCCCTACTAAAATTACAAAAAATTAACCAGGCATGGTGGCACGTGCCTGTAGTCCAAGCTACTCAGGAAGCTGAGGCAGGAGAATCGCTTGAACCCAGGAGACAGAGGTTGCAGTGAGCTGAGATTGTGCCACTGCACTCCAGCCTGGGCGACAGAAGGAGACACTATCTGAAAAAAAAAAAGATATAAGAATGAGGTCATGTTCCAAGGAATAAAGGTGGCCTCTGCATGCTGAAAAAAATAAAGTACATAGACTCTGCCACAGAGCCCTCAGAAAGACTGCAGCCCTGCACAAAACTTGATATTAGCCCTGTGAGTCTCATTTAAGGTTTCTGAACTCCAGAACTGTAGGCTTAACAGTCACTTTATTGTAAGATATGAATTTCATGATAATTTGTTACAGCAGCAAGAGGAAGTTTATATAGTAATTGTATCATGAAAATGAGAACCATAATTTACAACTACTTTTAATACTGCACTTGGATGTTTGAAATCACGTACATGGAAATGATCTCTATGTGTATGAGGGAGGATAGCAAATTGATGCCAAAATAACGCAAATGTAATCTTACACTCATTTCAATGTAGGTTTCATTTAATCTTTGAAATTAAAATGAAATTAAAGAATTATGATATTTTGATGAGATTAGACTAAAATGAACAATAACAAAATAAGAACTTACTTGTATTCTTTATATGGTCAATAAAGAAGTGATAGTGGAAAAAAACAAGGTCAAATGAAGGTGATGATTTAGGAAGTTGAAAAGATAGCCTAAACTACAAAATGGTATATAACTAGTGAACACTTAGACACACTGATTGATGAACTTCAGCTTTTGGATTGGTGAGAGCATAAAATGAGAGCAGCTGAGGTTTGCAAATTTGCAATCTCCTTGTGGAAAAACAAGAGAAAACACATCTCAGCCTAATAAGATTTATCTACTAGAGAGTCAAGACTTGATCCATTTGTCCTTGTAATTCAAAAGCTAATTCAAATACTGATTTGATATATTGTGTGAACAACCATTGCTGATTATCATCGCATACCTGGCATTCTCTTTTATCTGATATCTAAAATATTTGGTAATTCCTGGACTTTCTCTTTTTAAACCCAGTACGGTTTAATTTCAATCTTAGAACAGTTGTCTTTGAGAAATTCTTCCTTCTACTGCATCTGTGAATGAGCATAGCGTGGTTACGTACATACTATCACCACAGAGAACATTTGTTGAATTAAGGCCAAAGTTTAAAGCAACAGCTTTAACTCACTGGTTTTACTAATGTTTTCCTCCCCAATAGCCACAACAATATTGATACCCTCACACCTTTTAACATAAAGCTTGGTGTTGTCTATTTTTCAGGTGCTGTCATCTATATGATCTCAGCATTTTAAAAATAAGCTTCCAGCCCATATGGTGGCTCATGCTTGTAATACCAGCAGTTGAAGAGGCTGAAATGAGAGGATTCCTTGAGCCCAGGAGTTCAAGAGCAATCTGGGCAACATAGCAAGACCCAGTCTCTATCAAAAGTTAAAAAAAAAAAAAAAGGTGGGCATGGTGATGTGCACCTGTTGTCCTAGCTATTTGGGAGGCCAAGGTGGAAGGATTGCTTGAACTTGGGAGGTTGAATCTGCAGTGAGCAGTGATTGCACCACTGCACCCAAGCCTGGGCAACAAAGCAAGACCCTATCTCAAAAAATATATATAATACAAATAAAAATCAGCTCTCATTGATTTCTCCATAAATATGCACAGGTGATGTCCATGTAGACATAAATGATAATATATCTGACAGTGGGTCCATATGATCTTCAAAATGTAAAATGCCTATCTGTGTAATTGACTGCTTAGTCTCATTAATGAATATAGATTCAATTCTACTTTCTTGTTCTAGATAAATTATATAATCTAGCTTTTCATTTCACTTATTTACCGATAACAACAGGAAGAATGACAAGATATCTATTCTGGAAAATTACTCTGGTAGGAGTAAAGATGAAACAATGATAGAATTGCATGGAAAACTAGAAAAAAGTATGGTCTTCCGATATTCTATCACATCATATACAAAAGGCCTCATAAAACTCAGATATTTTATCTAAAAATGTTATTTTAATCTTAGGAATGATCAAAGCATGAGACTAGAATTGTATTACAATGACTCTCACAGGCACATGTGCTAAAAAGGAGAGGAAAACATCATTACTGATATTTTAAACGTATGTTTTACTTTCCATCAACATGAACCTCAACTTGATATGATGTAGATTGAAGGAAATCACCCATAATTCCATATGAAGAAGGCCTGTGATATTTTATGGGAAATATATATATAGAAAATGCTAACAGAAACCCTATTAAGCATTAAGCTTTATGGAGCAGAGACAAATCCAGTGGTGAAAGATACACAGTCGAGTTCTGTTTGTTGTCTTCGAACAATACGGTTTAGAGGTGACTGGTGGGTGAGGAGAACATATGCAAGTTCACCAAACAGAAAAGCTGAATGAGGCAATGCCTCTTCCTGACCATATCTCTTACTCAGATACCTATGTAGTTTATTGTCCAGTAAAGGGTATATTTAAAAATCATATTAAAAGTCATGCAATGAAGTTGTCCAGGGAAATCAAGACTTAACAGTCTCACTCTGACAATAATGAATAGGGGGATTCCCTCAAGATAGACTAGGACATGAGTTCACACTGGCAGGTAGTAGCACCAGAAAGGAACCCATGGAAAATCTTTACCTTATGCTTGAGATAGGGACCAGGCTAAAGTGAAAGCCAGACATAAAATTTTATCTAAAATATATCCACAATCGAAGAAAATATGTGGTGTACAGGCATAGAATATCTGTACTGGATCATTAAAATAGTAAGATAAATTCAACTTTTTACATTGTTTTCTTTTCCTCCAGTTAGGGCTTGAGGTTTGTCTCTGGAGAGTGGCTGTCAATTGGAGCCCTGCCTTTCTGGGGTTCTGGGCAGGGGGTTGTGGATGCTTAACATGTGCCTTTCACAGGACACTTCCTTACCCTAGCAGTGGCCAGGTGTGCATCCCACGACCAGGCCTCCCTCTCACAGAACATCTGTCGAGACTAGGAGATGCCTGGTGATTTTTGCCTGACCTGTGTCCTGTGTATTTCTGACAAGAGCCACTCTCAGAGACCCTGGCCAGGAGGAGAGTTAGGTTCCAGTGTAGGTCAGCTCAGACACATGGAGACCACAGGACCAAACATGGGAAATCACAGAAGTGGTTTTATTACTCACAGATCCAGAGAGAAGAGGGTAGCTGAGAAGAGGGTTTAGCTGTGTCCCCAGCCAAATCTCATCTTGAATTCCTACATGTTGTGGGAGGGAACAGGTGGGAGGTAATTGAATCATGGGGGCAGGTCTTTCCCATGCTGTTCTTCTGATAGTGAATAAGTCTCACAAGATCTGATGGTTTTATAAAGGGGAGTTTCCCTGCACAAGCTCTCTTGTCTTGTCTGCTGCCATGTGAGACGTGCCTTTCACCATCCGCCATGATTGTGTGGCCTACCCAGCCATGTGGAACCATGTGTCTATTAAACCTCTTTCTTCTGGAAATTACCCAGTCTTGGGCATGTCTTTACCGGTGGTGTGAAAATGGACTAATACAGTAGCACACCTCATAGGGCTGAACAAAATGGGGAAGACGAGTGGGGAGCAATAGAGAGAAAAGGGGTCTGTGGGACTCCAGCCTTTATTGGGCCCAGAACATTACAAGTTTTCCACGGGGCTCTAGTCAGTGGGGTGAGTGCCAGCAGGCATATTTCTTGGCTCCTGCTGCAACTGAGCAGGTCACTCTGGAGTGTGGGGGCTGTCCATGTGGGCTGTGAGGTCTGTGGGGTGAGTCAGGTAGGTTGTATCCAATGGTTCCATAGCGGGTAGTCACCAGGAGGAGGCAACTGTGTAGGGTCAATATCTGGGCCAGCCACACTGAGGAACTGTGAGGGTTAGAACTGAGAATTGTCAAGGGAATCTGAACCCAGCTACCATATGAGAGAGTTCAAGTTACATTCAATGTGAATGCCATGGCAATATTAAAAGGTAAGAATTCACTCCATACGTGCTTGAGGTAAATAGTAGAAACCTAGAATTTATGCAAACAGTAAGAAGTTTGGATGCGTTTTCTGTCACATATTTTAATACTAGCAGCATATTATATATGTCAATCTATCAGGCATTCAGAAGTACATGCTTATGAAATTTTTTTGCACCATCAGACAAAAGACAAAGATAGAAGACAATTTTAACCCTATAAACACTAGTAAATTAAAAACAGAAGGACCTTTATGTCCTAATATATCTATGTTGTGAAAAACTGCCCTGTGAAATACGGGATTTCTTAAACATATTTTAAAAATCATAGGTGTCAATATTTTTTAGAAATCCATTTAAATTTTCTCTTGCTACTTTACAATGCCTATTTATTTATTAAGTGGTTTTGCTGATTTTGATGTATATCCTAAACTTTACATTTTCTTTAAAGTATGTTTTATACAACTTTACGTAAAATGTTTCAGTATCTTCACATTCTCTCCCTGTCCTTTTGTTTTGCTCTTATATGGTGGCCTTGAGTCTTTTCTCTGGCTTTTCAAACCTAGTAAGACTAAGACACTAAAGTAACTTTGCCCGTGGCTTGGTAATGCCTTCTAAAGCACGTCCTAAGCTCTCGGGCATACAGGGGTCTCCTTTGAGCTCTATGCGTTTGAGATCCCATATACCTAAATTCCAGTACTCCAAATCAGTACTTCTCAGTTTTAGTTACTAAGTTTAAAAATGTATTTTAATAGCAAGTTAGTTTAGTGCACTCTTACTTCTTTCTTTGCTGCTGGTATACGTGTATATTCCCTTAAATGAATCTTGGAATTTATTTAGAAATTTTAAATTATACTAATGAACCTGTATATTGTTGTGAAATCATAGGTGATTTTGGAAAGAATTTGTCTTTATGATACTAAATCCTTTTTATCCAAGAATCATATGTGCCTTTATATTTATTCCAGTCTATATTTATATCACTGAGTAAATATATAGAAATGTAGATACATACAGCTGTAGTCATAGATAGATACAAATATAGATATAACATGTTAAATCTATATCTATCCCATATAACATATATACATGTTATATGTGTGTATATATATATATATATATACATATATATATATGTTTGTGTTATTAAAGAGCTCGCTTAAAATTTTTCTTTTATTTCCTATATAATTTTAGGTTGAGCTTGAATTTTCCTTGTATAAACAAACAAATATTTATACTAGTTTTAATACTGAGGTTTAGACATTCTATCTTATTTTAGCATCGAATATTTTCACAATGATTATATTATCTAATAATAATGTAACTGTTAAAAATATTTAAAATTTATTGTTGAATTTAAATTCCTTTAAGTATGATAGTAAATTTCTATTTTATGCTTTCTCTATGAATATGCAAATTAATCTATCCACTTCTCTATCTTTATGTAGTAACATATGAAAACCAAGTCTCTCTTCTTCTAATAGACATATACATGTTTGCATATAGAATATCAGACTCTTTATAGCATTTAAAATATTTAAAGACATGAATATTACATTTTAACAAATATATTTTAGCATGTACTGAGAATCCCATATTTATTGTTTATTTGGGGTAATCAATATGATTATTAAAATTATTGGATCACCAAATTTGGAATCACACTTTCATCCCCAAGGTGGATATTTGTTTGTTTGTTTTTTTTTGCCAATTTCTTGTCTTACTGTTTCAAATATTGTTGGATATTATTTTTATTTTATTTGGCATTTTAGTATCAATATTTGTAAGTGATGTACTCTACATATTTTTTCTTCAATATCTGGTGGGTTTTATAATTACTGCTATATTGGATTTGTAGTAGACATTGACAAAAATTATTTCTGTATGTTTTACAGCTGTATGAAGGAATCCAATATATTTTACCCCAAAATATATTTCCTTGATATATTTCAAAATGGCTATTCAGAAGGGCTGGAAATGCAAACTTAGCTGCAAAGCTGTCTTGGGGAGATTTGCATCTGTAGAGAACCTACTTTGATGCAGCCAGGCTTTCTCTGAGGTCTGCTAACTTGTCTGGATCTAGGAAAGTTTAACTGAGCGTCTGAGGTCTCCAAAGGTCTGAAAGAAACATTTTCTCTCTATTCTCTCTGAGGACTGCTCCCAGTGAGGTTTCACCTACGTAATAAGTCCACTGTTGCTAGTCAGCGTCCTTTTCTCACATAACCTTTTTTTTTCCCATGTGATCCAAGACCCCATTCTTTCTGTAAACTTCATATGGTAGACAAGCTTCTGCACCCATCTTGTGTCTGGGTCTTCATTCTAAGGGCTCCAGTGTACACACATTGCAGAAACCTGTATGCCTTTTCTACTATTTATCTGCCTCCTATTAGTGATTTTCAGGGAAACTTCAGAAGGCAAAAGGGGCATTCTCCTTTAGCCTATACTCAGACAAAATCCCCCAACATTTAACTGATTCCTAATAGCTTAAAATCACTTTGAAAAATCCACATATTTATAACCTTTTCTTCCCTCTATGATTTCTGGTCAGCTTGGGTTTTGTTTTTTATTCCATTTACTTCATCCTCGAAAAGATCTATTTTATGTCTATTTATTCTCATTTATTGACATTGAGAAAAGAAAATAACTTTCATGTGAGAAACGCAAGTCCTTTGAAATAATCAGGCCCAGAGAATTATTCAAATGAGACAGCAGTTCTGTCCTGCTCCTCTTTGAGCTGTGTGTTCATCTAGGCTGCTTGTTGTTGCCACAGTAGCTATAAATTAACCAATAACGCCTCACCAGACACTATAATCCACACCCAATAATAGTGTAACAGTGTATAGCCAGTCACTAATAAATGTTATTTCCATAAGCCAATGAGAATTTGTGACAAACCTCTTTGCATCATCCCACTTCTTATCCCTTTTTTGCCTTTAAGAAACTGCTTGTTGCAAAGCTCCAAATGGAGTTCATATCCAGGGATACTTGGGTCTGTTTGTTCCAGGCAGCTGTCCCCATTTTGGCTCAAGTAAACTCTTTGAATTACGTTTTGTGCTTCAGCCTCTTCCACTTAGATTAACAACATGCATTTGTGTCACCATGTACAGCAATTAAAGTGTTTACACTTTTCCCCTCGAGGGCACTGATGTGTTTTCCTGAGCACTTGTAATAGCTACATAATGTTTACTTTCTATATTATGGTTTCTCAACCTTGGTGTACTTACCTTTAGGACCAGAGGATTCTTTGTTGTGGGAGGCTGCCCTAAGCAATGCTAGGTGATTCGTTTGACCTCTAAATTTCACACCTCCACCAGTCTTGACATCCCCACAATAACCCTAGACATTGACAAATGTCTCCTGGGGAAAACTCTCCACCGGTTGATAGCCAAAGTTCTTGAAATATTGGAATTGTCAATTGAGTTTTTATGTTATCCAAAACAAATATTTTTCTTTGTTTTTAAACATCTACTTCCATCTACTTATCTACTTATTTTTACTTTTATTTGTAACTTAATTCCATCAAGGAGAGAGAGTGCATTTTCTGTTATGCTAAATTTTTGAAGAATGTATTGATTTTTTATGACCTGATATATGGATGATATGTAGATATTACATGTTTGTATTATCAAATTTCAGGGTGATAATAAAATAAATACTTATTTATATTGTCACTTTATATTAGTTATTTTCTTTCTTCACTACAGGAGTTTTTCAACCTATAGGCTATTTTTCCATTCTAGGTTATTGAGTAGACTTTGAAATGTTAAGATTAAATATCTACTTCTCAAGCATTCATCTTTGCAAATGAATCAATCCCAAGCTCTTATACTGCACATCATATAAAGGGCAGATTAGTCAATATATGGTTCAGAAATAGTTACGTAACATCTATAAGAAAATTAAAAATTTAGATCCTTAACTCAGATAACAATAATCCAAATTAAAATTTGATTTAATTACATAATTTAAAATGACACCAGAATACTAGTAAAAATGTAGATAAGTTTATATAATCCTTTTTAGCTGAGGACTTTATTAGCATAAATTCAAATACAGGAGCCAAAGTAAGATTGAGACCTATAGTCAAAGGTTAAAGTGTACACATTATAGGGGCATGATTAATCTAATTTAAAGCATAACATGGAGAAAAATTGCAAAACATGCATGTTACTGAATTAATTGTTAATATCTAATCATTAAGTGAGAACAAAGGTAAAGAGTAGCTACACACACACACACACACACACAAGTGCAATATTGTCAAATAAATGTGATGTTCAGCTACACTAGAAATCACACCTGTGTTTTCTCCACAGAAGAGTAAAGATTAAAAATCACAATAATATTTATTGTACATATGGAGGTAAAGATACTCAAAATATTACCCTAAAATGCCTTTTTTTTTGAGATAGAGTTTTGCTTTTATTGCCCAGGCTGGAGTGCAATGGCACAATCTTGGCTCACTGCAACCTCAGCCTCCCAGGTTCAAGTAATTCTCCTAGCTCAGCCTCCCAAGTAGCTGAGATTACAGGCATGTGCCACCACACTTGGCTAATTTTTTGTATTTAGTAGAGACGGGTTTTCACCATGTTGGTCAGGCTGGTCTCAAACTCCTGACTTCAGGTGATCTACCCACTTCAGCCTCTCAAAATGCTGGGATTACAGGCATGCGCCTGGCCAACTTTTTGACATATTTCAAGATGGCTACACGGAAGACTGGAAATAGCTTCTTCTACAAGAATAGCTGAAAAGTTGTGTTTGTTGGGGAGATTTTCATTTGTAGAGAAAATCTGCATTGATATAGACAGGCTTTCCCTGAGATACTCCCTTGTCTGTGTTTAGGAAAGATTAACTGAGTCTGGCACGTTTACATTTCTAAAAACCATTTCCTATCTATACTTCCCAAGAGGAGGGCTGCTCCCTGTGAGGTTTCATCCGTGTAACAAGACAACCTCTGCTGCCAGGCTCCTCTGTCTTCCTTGTCGTCACTTGTCTTCTGCAAATGCTGATTGACCTATGTACAGGTCTGTGTTTTCTGTAACCTCAAGACAGCATAGGCGTGTGGACTACCTTGCCTTTCCTGGAGTTTTTATATATATAGCATATATTTGTATATCTATTTATAATATACAAATATTTGTATATATATTTATATATATTATGTAAACTCCAAGTGCATACTTGTGAACATATCTGTAAACCTTTTTTTCCTGTTAATTTGAACATTATCAGTTTGTTTTATAGACTGAAATAATTAAAGCTTCAAGGGAAAAATTGAAACTTTCCTTTAGAGAAAAGACAAATATATAGGTGACAAATAATATTTAGAGTGTAAGACGCTTTTTAAGGTATATTTGCAATTTGTGTCAAAACATTTAAATATACATTTATTACTTTAACTATAAAATTTCAAATAATTTAAGCTAAATACATAGTATATGCAGAAAATTTAGCAATATTTGTATGTAGCACCTTACTGTGCATTACTGTAACCAGCTGTCTAATATAAAGAACTAATTAAGGTAGCACCTACTTTCAAATATCTCATTTTTATCAAAGACCTATTAAATAAGACAAATAACATATAAAGTTTGTTTTTAAATTTACAGAATAGTAGTTTTCAGAAGATGGTTTATTTTAGCAAATTCCATCTTCACATTGTGCTATGCTTTTATGAGTACCAGCTGTTAACGGATAATATTTTACTGCTGAATCTATCATGTGTGATATAATTGCTCATTATGTGCCTTAAAACACAAGTAATATACTTATTTTCAACTTGCAGCAAATTAAAATCTTATCAGCCATTTAAAAACTCCAAAATTGTCTTCTTCTGGTTAATTATTTTAAACTTGTATTTTTCTCTCTATGTTTTTAGTGAGTTGTCTTATCAAGGAGAAGAACTCAAGCTGATTATTCTTTTTTTTCTCTTCCATCCACCTCGCAGGTGTGTTAATGATTTCATTTTTCAGAAAATGTTATTTCATATCCATCTTACAAGATGAGAGAGCTTTTAAAATCTTCCATTCGGATGTGATACGAGTAATGGAAAATATTCCAGCTTCATGAATATGGTGATACAAATAGTTATCCGTCTAACCTCTTTCAGTGCCAAATGTATACTTTAGTCAGTGAATTACTCAGTTGACTGGTAATTTCTTCTGAAATCACAAATGAGAGGATCAGAGGTCTGGCTGTTTTCTGTACCGCATATGACTCCCAGTGCAGACAATTGTTTCTATGGAGCACAGACAGTTGAAAAGATTGACTTCCTGCCTAGAACAGTTTCCGTTGTGCTTCTTATCCTTCTTGTGGAGATTTCAGATTATCTGAATTGCTTTTCTATCTTAAGAAAAAACTCAACAATTCTGCCACCTGAGAGGAATGTAAACTGTAGTAAGTTAGCAGAACCAATCCGTAAGGTTTTTACATTGTTTTTTGTAAAATGCAGCTTTGGTCACTCCATCACTAACCTTTTCTATCCCTCATTGCTCTTTCGTTGACTGCAATAGGATACCTCTAGGCAAATCTGTATTCCCGAGACAGAGTGCCGTTTTGGTTAGCTATAAGTACACTCAATGGTAGGCGGAAATACTAGTTTTTATCTACAGCGAAATTCCATTCCACTACACTCCATTCCACTCCACGCTATTCAATTCCATTCCACCCCATTCCATTCCACTTCATTCCACTCCACTGCACTCCACTTCACCGCATTGCATTCCATTCCACTCCATTCAATTCCACTCCACTCCACTCCATTCCATTCCATTCCATTCCATTCCACTCCAGTCCACTCCATTCCACTGCACTCCACTCCATTCCACTCCATTTCACTCCACTCCATTCCACCACATTCCATTCCATTCCATTCCATTCCATTTCATTCCATTCCATTCTAAATCCATTCCATTCCATTCCTTTCTTTCGACAGGATCTCACTCTCTCACCCAGGCTGGAGTGCAGTGCACAATCTCAGCTCACATTTCAATTCACCATTCCATGCCATTCCATTCCATTTCATTCCATTCCATTCCATTCCACTCCATTGCATTCCATTCCATTCCACTCCACTCCACTCCATTCCACTCCACTCCATTCCATTCCATTCCACGCCATTCCACTCCACTCCACTCCCTTTCATTCCAATCCACTCCACTCCATTCCACTAAACTCCACTCCACTCCATTCCACTCCACTCCACTCCATTCCACTAAACTCCACTCCACTCCATTCCACTCCAATCCACTCCATTCCACTCCACTCCACTCCATTCCATTCCACTCCACTCAATTCCAGTCCACTCCATTCCATTCCACTCCATTCCATTCTACACCTTTCCACTCCACTCAACTCAACTCCACTCCATTCCATTCCATCCCATGCCATTCCACTCCATTCCACTCCACTCCACTCCACCCCACAGCACTCCACTCCACTCCATTGAATTCCATTCCATAACAATCCATACCTTTCCGTTACACTCCACTCCACGCCACTCCACTACACTCCATTCCATTCCATTCCATTGTAAATCCATTCCATTCCATTCCTTTCTTATGACAGGATATCACTCTGTCACCCAGGTTGGAGTGCAGTGCACAATCTCAGCTCACATATCATTTCACCATTCCAGTCCATTCCATTCCATTGCATTCCATTCCACACCATTCCACTCCACTCCATTCGGTTCAATTCCATTCCTTCCCAGTCCATTCCACTCCACTCCATTCCACTCCACTTCACTCCACTCCATTAAATTTCATTCCACCCCATTCCATTCCACTCCATTCCACTCCACTCCACTTCACCACATTCCATTGAATTCCATTCGATGCCATTCCATTCCATTCCATTCCATTCTATTCCATTCCATTCCATTCCACTCCATTCCACTCCACTCCATTCCACTCTACTCCACTCCATTCCACTCCACTCCATTCCATTCCCTTCCATTATATTCCATTCCACTCCATTCCATTCCACTCAATTCCATTCTACTGCACTCCACTCCCTTCCACTACACTACACTCGACTCCATTCCATGCCATTCCACCCCACTCCATTTCACTTCTTTCCACTCCGTTCCTTTCCATTCCATTCCATTCCATTCCACTCCACTCCATTCCACTCCACTCCATTCCCCACCACTCCACTCCACTCCAGTCTACTCCATTCCATTATATTCCATTCTAAATCCATTCCATTATATTGCATTCTAAATCCATTCCATTCCCTTCCTTTCTTTCGACAGGATCTCACTCTTTCTCCCAAGCTGAAGTGCAGTGCGCAATCTCAGCTCACATTTCATTTCACCATTCCATTTAATTCCATTCCATTGCATTTCATTCCACTCCACTCCATTCAATTCCATTCCTTCCCATTCAATTCCACTCCACTCCACTCCACGTTAATCCACTCCACTCCACTCAATTCCATTACATTCTATTTTAAATCCATTCAATTCCATTTCTTTCTTTTGACAGGATCACACTAGGTCACCCAGGCTGCATTGCACTGCAGAATCTCAGCTCACATTTCATTTCACCATTCCATTCTATTCCATTCCATTGCATTCCATTCCACTCCACTCCACTGCACTCCGTTCAATTCCATTCCTTCCCATTCCATTCCATTCGATTCCATTCCACTCCATTCAATTCCATTCCACTCCACTCCACTCCATTGAATTC